>NC_000008.11:137224611-137526689 GCF_000001405.40 Homo sapiens
CTCCATCTCAATAAATAAATAAATAAATAAATAAATAAATAAATTGCAAAGTTTCTCAGTGTTAATGTACAGATCCTTAATAATGTAGCCTGGTTGCTAGTAATGAAAGCAGGTCTTCTCTTCTTCCTTCTTCCTCTCTCTTTCTTTTTTGATGGTCTTTTTCACATGTCCTCATAAGTCATTTGAGGCCTGAGACTAGACCCTGTTTATCTCAGCCCTCAAGACCTACCCCAGGATGTTGCCAACTGAGGGAGGACCCTAAACAGTTACTCATGTCTTTATACCCAATAACTCTTCCTGACCCCCCTTTTCCCTGTCTCATCTCCACTTTAGAGTTGGGGATAGATACATCCTCAGTATCTCAGGTCAGGCTATCATGTGACACAATTCTGGGGAAAGCAGAATAAGTAGATATTCACTGGGGGCTTTCTGGAGGTTAACATCCACCCACCCATTTTCCCTTTGCTTTTACACAAACATGATGGCTCAGTCTTGCAGAAATAACATATATCAGTGATGGAAAACCCCAGAAAGCCCCAGATATAAAGGCCCTAATTTTGTTAAATCACAGAATCCTTATGAGTAGCCATCTGCCATTAGACTTTCTTCATCGTGAAGAGAATAAGTTTTATTCAAGTGAAATGTTGGGTGACTTCTGTCCAAGCACTTTACCCTCTCCTAAGCACTTGTGATAGATGAGTGAACAAGACAATGAGATATTTTGCTACATGCAGATGAAAGCATTCTAGGTTCATGAAAGATGCAGTTGTTATTTTCATCAATCATTCAACCCTGAGCTGAAGTTTATCCTGACCCTTCTTAGAAGATCCTCACTACCTCTGAGGCAGTCTATGATGGTGGCTATGACAATGGAAATGCTGCTGTCCATAATAACATCTTCACATAAGTATAATCTATACATTGAGGAAAGTGGCATCTTAATATTTACAAACTTTGGCCACATCCTTGTTCTTATGGGAAAGGTACTACCTTTTGAAGCTGAGAGAGGAGGTAACAATTAGCCTAATTAATAGATAAAGATAAAAGCAAAAGTCAAAGTAAAACAAATATGAATGACTTTCCCTAAGTCATGCACAGAATAATAGAAAGTTTCTAAGACTACTCTCTTCTTGGGCCAAGTGTTTAGTCACATGCTGCATATGATGGGAAGGAAGCAGGAGTACCATTTGGTATTGAAAAATACTGCTGGTATTCCCTGCCTTGAATGATCTCAATTTCAGGAGTTATATCTGATTCACAACCATTCAATCTAGGCTCATGTGTTCAAATCCCTTTGACAAGTATGTCTATTTCCAATGGAAGACATCTGAGTGAACATCTCTTCAAACTAGATGTCTATAGGATCAGCCTATGTGGATTCACATTGTGACCTAGCTTGCTTCATAGCCATTGAAGGTCAATATAGGAAAGTGGGAAATTCATTTCTCATTGAATATCTCAAAGCTTGATCTCACACTTGGGCTGTTTCAGAAGCTGAATTCTCCCACTGGAGGTCTTTGCTAGAGAAAGTTCCCTGCATAGCCACCTCTGTGTGCCATAATCATTGAGTGTTTTATGGTGTCCGGAACCCCACCAGGAACAATTCTTTCTCTCCCTCTCTCTGACATAATCTTAACTTTTATGAAACATCTTCTATTCATATCATAGTTCTGTCAGTAGTGATGATAATTATCTTTATAATAACCCAATCCTCCATTAAATCCTAAATGCTATTCTACAGTTTAAAGGGTGGGTCAGACAGAATAAAAAAATACGGTTTTGTAGTTTGCACAGGAATCTAGACAAAGGTCATGAGTAATAATAAAAGTGCATATTATAATAAAATGAAATATGTACCAAATGTGAGGCACAGATGAAAACCTTAATAAGAGTGCAGGAATAACAAGAGATCATTGAGGCTACAAAATTGAGGAAAGTCTGATTAAACAGATGATATTCAATTATACCTGAAAGAAGACTAGAAGACTATTACTCAAATATATAATCATATATATATATGGCACATAGGAATTTTTTTCTGTCACTTTGCCAGCTGGAGACCTCTGGCTGGCAATGACACTGCCTGGTCTTCTTTGGGCCTCAGCTCACTGCAGGAGATGCCCTGTCTACTCACCTCATGGCTCCAGGGCTAATTCAGCCCCGGGGGCTGCTTCCCATTACATGGGGTGGCTGCCTGCCACTGGCAGAGGGCAGAGGGCCACTGTGCTACTGCTTTCTTCATACCTGCATTCGGCAGGGTCCCAAGTTCTTGTCCTGCATCCAAGAAGAATGAGGTTACATTGACAATTGAAGGGTCAGGTGGGTGGAGAAAAGCTTTATTGAGCAATGAAACAGCTCTCAGCAGAGATGGGATGCGAGGGAGGTTCCCCACCAGAAGTCAGAGGGTCTCTCCCTCAGTCTAGCTGGATCCAAGGTTTTTATCAGCTCAGAAAGGGGAAGTATGTGCTGATTGGTTTGTGAGTATGCAAAAAAAGCTAAAACAAAGGCACCGTTCAAAGGTGAGCATGACAATATATAAAACCAATTAGGTGGCTAACATGGTGAAACCCTGTCTCTACTAAAAATACAAAAATTAGCTGTGCATGGTGACACGTGACTATAATTCAAGCTATTCGGGATGCTGAGGCAGAAGAATCACTTGAACCCGGAGGCAGAGGTTGCACTGAGCCAAGATCACGCCATTGCACTCTACCCTGGGGGACAAGAGTGAAACACCATCTCAAAAAAAAAAAAAAAATTAGGGAAGGATAGGTATATGTAAATTGGGTGAAGGGTGGGGATCAATCAGAGGAAAGCACACCAAATGGGAAAAGAGGTTCTCAATCTTGTCCATGTATTTCAGGCTTTAAAATGTCTTTGGCTTGAAGGTGCAGTTTCACTGGGGACCTTCCCCTATCTGCCTGAGACTTGTCTGCCTCCAACTGCTGTCTATATATATCTATACATGCAGAAAAAGTATTACAGACTAGAAAAAGCATAAGCAAAAGCCCAGTGGTAGGAAACAGCTTGCCATATTTGGAAGGGTTGACATCACCCACTGTACTGCAATAGACAGTTGATATGTAAGAATACTGAAAAATCAGATTTGAAATATGAGTGAGAACTGTCAGACCTCTAAGCTGAAGCTCAGCCATTATAATCCCAGTGACCTGCACATATATGTCCAGATGGCCTGCAGGAGCAAGAAGTCTGGAGCAGCCAAAAAACCACAAAGAAGTAAAACATCCAGTTCCTGCCTGAACTGATTAACCAACATTACAACATTCTACCACTGTGACTTGTCCCTGCCCTACCTTAGGTGATCAATAGACTTTGTGACATTCTTCTTCTGGACAATGAGTCTTATGATCTCCCCACCATGTACCTTGTGACCCCCTCTTCTGCTAACAATAGATAACCACCTTTTACTGTAATTTTCCATTACCTACCCAACTCCTATAAAACAACCCCTTCCCCATCTCCCTTCACTGACTCACTTTTTGGACTCAGCCCACCTGCACCCAGGTGAATTAAAAGCTTCATTGCTCACCCAAAGCCTGTTTGGTGGTCTCTTCACATGGACGTGCTTGAAATTTGGTGCCGAAACCTGGGATCGAACCAGGGGATGTATACGTGCAGGCTTGGGCTCAAAGGCCTGACAAGAACCACAGAGGGAAGCTGTCGAATACTAAGCCTAAGCATTAGGAATTTATGCTGCAGGCAGTGGAGAGCCTCGGGGGTGGTCTGAGCATGGTAGTGAGTTCCACATGCCAGAGAGTTGGAAACCAAGTCCAACACCCCATGCAGGAAGTGGGAGAAGACTGTGAACATACAGTCTCTCCCTCTTCTGGGCCAGATTTGAGAAAGCATTTTTCTTTCATTGTAAACTTTTTCTTTGACACATAAAAGCCAACACATCCAATAGAGGGTCTCAAAAAAACTGACAGTGCATTTCCTGTTTTCAATGCCCCCCTCTAAGAAGCAGTAGCCCTCTAATCTCATTGAATTCTGGCTTAACTTTGAACTTGCAATTCAAAATAAAACCCAGTGATTGACTATTTGATGGTGCTATTAAAAAAGTCAAAGGAATGTTAATGATTCTTAACCTTCATGAGTTCTATAAAGGAAAGGAAAGGTCAACAGGCACAACTGAGAAGAGAAAGGAGGTTGTCTAGCAGCCACAGTGAAAGTTCTGGAGGATGACTACAATGGGCACTAAAAGACCCTAGAAGGACCTGAGTAATTCAATTTTACCATAATAATGTGTGAGTGTTTGAGGACCAAACATCAATGCTACTTAAGATCAGAATCTTTAATTTTCTTTAATGGCCTTCAGATAATAAGAAAAAAACAAAATTTTCAGAGGTTCTGTGGCTGTTGAAGACAGACTCTGATCAGAACATTCATTTTAATAAGTACCCAGGTGACTGATGAAATCAGAATCAAATCCACAGAAATAAACCTAGAGAAATTCTGGTTTGCCCTTCACTTGTTTTTGATCCTCTCAAAAGCCACTTCACGAATACTTTATGTACAGAGAATCATAGACTTGAGAGGGGTTAAAAGATACAGGGCTCACAGCTCCAGAGTGGTTCTGCTGTATCTTAAAGCCATGTCTTCTAATCCAAGCACTAGTTCTTTGTCTACAGTCCCCTAGTTTATATATAATGAAACTAAATTCATAATGAATTGCTTAATTCCAAAAGTTAAATCAGTCTCGATTCCAGAATTCAAACACGTTACTACAGTCACAAAACCACGCCACCTTTGTCTGCCGTTCACTTATGAATTTCCCCAGATTCATGACTCCATTGACCATGATCCAGCATTGCACTATATATGCAAAACCTAACTTTTTGCTATATATGCAACACCACTATATGTGCAAAACCATTGCACTATATATATGCAAAACCTAAGTTTTGCACTTGTACAAAAAGTTTCACCCCGATTGTCCTCTGAAGTCCTTGAAGGAAAGCAAATGTGGTATTTTGCTTGTTTGTTTTTGTTACGATTTCAGAAACATAGTAGGTTTATCTGTGGTTTGAGGTGGGGTACAATCAAGGGAGCTGGAGCTGAAGACAAGACATTGGGGCTCTATGTTAGTCTATTATTTGAGGCAAGTAACTTCCCCTGCAAGCCACAGGAAACTCTTCCATGAATGGGGTCTGCTTATCTATCTAGCAGGAGAACCTAGACAAGAAGTTTGAGTTAGTTTCAACTCCCACCTCAGTCTTTGATGCCTCCTCAGAAATTAGGCTTTTAATATTTATTTTAGCAAACAGCAGAGTCCCTTTTTTCCAAAAGGGTATTCGAATAAAACAGATAAAAGTGGGGCTTCTCCAGTTGCAATTGTGCCACAACCCAGACTCCGAAGTGGTTCCTGGGGGAATCTTTGGAAATGTTTACAAATCTGACAAGCACAAGGGTAAAACTTCCAGGGCTTCAAATTCCAGGAGTGTGCAGGAAGTAGTACGAGCCTGAGAAGACCCAGAGGACCATTGGTTTCAGTTCCAACCAGTAACTTTAGTTACCCGCTAGAGTAACTTTTCACAGATCACATCTCTTTTGCTAAAGCTATGTTTTATATTTTAGAATAACCAACAATTAGCATACATGATTTCTGAGGTTTATTTCAGCTATTTCATCCTACATTATAAGTTATAATTCAGAGCTCAGGTCAGTACTAGGGCTTTTAAAAATTTCACTAGATTGTAAGCTTCATGAGGGCATCTGCGTATGTGTGCGTAGCACTGACCATGTGGTAGGCAAGCTAAAAACACAATAAAAAAACACCCTCAGTGGCTTTCATAATACAAAACACAGATGGCACCAAAATCATTTACATTTGATTTGGAAATGTATCTTAGGTTTAGCTTTATTTTGTCAAAGAATGTTTAAAGAATGTTTTAGAGTGTGTGTTATGTATCACTTAAACCTTTGGTATAAATGTTTGAATTATATCCCTTCATGTTTAAACTTTGCTATTTATAAGCAGTCAGTTCATGTGTGTGTGTGTGTGTGAATACACACACACACAGACATATATACTAGCACAATGCATTATACATGACAACCACTGAATAAATATTTGATGGATTATATAAGACGTGTGACATATCTTTATATAGGTATGCTCATGTGTGAATGTAGCCACATGTCTGTCTGTGAGTGTGTATATGCACATATGTGTAATTATTCAACTCTGACTTCTAAACATGCCCATGTATAGTTAAGTGAGAAAAAAGCCAGATTAACTGGTCCATTTGACAATAAATCTTTCACGCAATACCTATCTGACACCTCTTAGAAAATCATTATAAATTATTAATGAGTGCTTAAAGTACAAATGTATGTTTTGTTTCCGGCTATTTATTTAGACAGCCCATTTTGGCTTCTAATCAAGACAGAAAGTAATGCATCCAACACTGAGGGCTCAGGCTTTGAAAGCATTTGAGGGAAAATGCCCTGGAGCATAGGCCTCCTCTGGCACAGGCATACACACACATACTCGCAGACTGATAGATCGGTGCCTGCCATTCCTGTACATATATCCACAGTACATTATGATTTTAGAATGAAGAGCAATTGGCATATGGTCAAAATAATTTTTTAATGTACAAATAATTACTCACCCTAAATTAGCCTTCAGTCGCCACATGAAGAGGTATTTGTTTTGATACCTCCACAATAAGTAAGTGGCAAGACATAGCCTCAAAAATGGGCTTCTTATTTCCAGTTTGAGCCCTAATTTTCTTCGCCTATCACACTCCACATGTCTTCTCACACGTCACTTCTAGAAATTCCAGAAGTGGATTTCCTGTAGTTCCCCCTGCTACTTCCCCTTTCTGAACATGAGGCACACGTCAATGTTTTTTATTTATTTATTTGTTTGTTTGTTTATTTTGAGATGGAGTCTTGCTCTGTCACCCAGGCTGGAGTGTAGTGGCGCAATTTTGGCTCACTGCAACCTCCACCTCTGGAGTTCAAGCGATTCTCCTGCCTCAGCCTCCTGAGTAGCTGGGATTACAAACACACACCACCATGCCCGGTCAATTTTTGTAGGGTTTTACCATGTTGGTCAGGCTGGTCTCGAACTTCTGACCTTGTGATCTGCCCATCTCGGCCTCCTAAAGTGCTGGGATTACAAGTGTGAGCCACCACGCCTGGCCACTTCAATGTTTTATTAAGCTGCGCTATGCTTCTCCAGGTTGGTACGTCTTCTGATTCAGCTCAGTTCTAGTATCTTGCACTCTGGCACAAATCCTCATGAATAGTGCCTTTGCCTGGTTCACTCTAGCCCTGAAAATTGAACCCATAGACCCAAAGGGTCAGAAGACGCTCTACAAAGAAGATCAACATGACATGATGAAAACCAAGACCTTAAAAGACTATGACTAAAGTCTGGAGAATGGAGGGAACTTTTCCAAATTCATATAGTTACATTGATTTAAAGGACCTGGGTTTTCTCATTCCTAAATTGACAGCAACCTACTTTTCAGAATTTAAAAATTCCTGTAAATATGCTTGCATAAAAAACGCAGTTTCTCTGTAAAGCAGAAACAAAAGGTAGCTTTTAATTAATTTAGCAGGTTACTCCAAATATTATTGCACCACCAAAGAAAGTTACTGTTACTAGCCAAAAAGCAAACCTCCTAATTCCTAATTGTCGTTCTGTCTTCCTCTCTCCCTCTCTCTTACTCAAAATAATCCAATTACTGCAAGTGCTAGATTCTATTCTCATTGATAAGCTTGAGGAAATGGGGCAAAACATTTGATTCCACCCTCAGTTCCTCTCAGTGTCTGTGATTAGCATCCCACCAATCCAGATGGGTTCCCAAAGCTGTAAGTCAGAAGCCGGCTAACTCTGTGTATGCTGAATTCTTTTCAGAACCTCTCTGGCAAAAAGGAAAATGAATCAAGTTACTTGATAAAACTCCGGTATATACCCTCTCATTCAACCTATGTGGTTAATTGCTGTAATGCCTTGTTCCAATTCACGCAAGGGTCAGCAAACTAAGACCCATGTGCTAAATCCATCTCACTGCCTAAAGGTTTATTGGAACACAGCAATGCCTCTAGTTTGTATGTATTGTCTGTGGCCACTTTCATGCTATAATGTCAAAGTTAAGTAGTTGTGGTTCTAAAGCCCCCAAATACTAAAATGTGAACTACCTGCGCTTTACAGGAAAAAACATTTCATCCCTGGTTTAGAACCTTGCAATTCTTGCCTTTTCATATTAGATGAGCCATGTACCAGTGGGCCAGGGTTCCTGAGTTTTCTTATCCAGATATACCTGAGCGGGGCGCGGTGGCTCACGCCTGTAATCCCAGCACTTTGGGACACCAAGGCAGGTGGATCACGAGGTCAGGAGATCGAGACCATCCTGACCAACATGATGAAACCCAATCTCTACTAAAAGTATAAAAATTAGCTGGGCGTGGTGGCACATGCCTGTAATCCCAACTACTCGAGAGGCTGAAGCAGGAGAATTGCTCGACCAGAACCAGTGAGTTGGAGGTTGCAGTGAGCCGAGATTGTGCCATTGCACTCCAGCCTGGTGGCAGAGTGAGACTCTGCCTCAAAAAAAAAAAAAAAGATGTATCATGTATCTGTCAGGGTGCAGTCAGGAAATAAAGACTCATAGTTCATAGCAAGTAGCTTATTAAAGGACATTTAATACAGAAAGACAGTTATAGATATGGTTTCAAAAAAAAACTAAAAACATGGAATTGACTGCTTCAGAATGACACTCCTACCCCTAGGACTGAGTGATAAAGGATGGGGTGGTTTTACCAGTGCCAACCTATGGAGCAGGGATCTGTGAGGAGGACTCACTCAGCGGGAGCTTCGACTCTAGAAGGAAGGTTAAGCAGCAGATTATGGAATCACAAAGACCCAGCCACTACTCCAGGTAGCACCAAAGCTGAGACAGAAGGAGAGGACACCATAGTTTCTCCTTTTCTGGTTTCACTCTTATCTCAGTGTCCCTCATTGGTCAAGCCCAGTGGAAATTTAGGAGCCAGGGAGGCCTGGAAAATGTAGTTTTCGGGAGTCAGATTCCTGCAAAATAGAGCGGAGCAGTCAAGGAAGTGGAGTCAACTGAGAGAAAGAGGCATATGACAAGTGCAGCTGGTATGTGACTTTGGACAAGACACTTCAGCAATCTCGGGTCTCAGCTCCCTCAGGTGCAAAACTGAGAAGCCATTTATTTGTTGTGAAGCTATTACATGGACTTCCCTAAAACAACATATTCTAACCCATGTAATGTATAAGCCCACGAGACAGCAGATGCTGCATTTGTCCATGGACACTGTTCTTGACAATACTTTCCTTCTGTTTTCTTCCAGGCCCACTCCTTACCCTTCAACCCTTCCTTGTTCTGACTACAGCTATGATCACTTGAAAATCTACTGACAGGCTAAGCCTCCCCACAACTAGTATGTACCATCTTACAGCTCATTAGAGTAAATAAGGATCTTACAGTTCTTAAGCATTAAACTTGAAGACAAGCCTTCATTTAGTTTTGTTCCTCCTTTTCTTGGTTTTGGTACTTTGAGCCTCTGGATTAGGCCTTTGAATCTGATGTAGCCTCTTTGTAGTTTATGTTTATATGTATTTATTTATGTGGACTGCCAGAATTTCACTTTCTTTTTTTTTTTTTTTTTTTTTTTTTTTGAGATGGAGTCTCGCTCTGTCACCCGGGCTGGAGTGCAGTGGCATGATCTCGGCTCACTGCAAGCTCCGCCTCCCGGGTTCACGCCATTCTCTTGCCTCAGCCTCCCGAGTAGCTGGGACTACAGGCGCCCGCCACGGCACCTGGCTAATTTTTTGTATTTTTAGTAGAGACGGGGTTTCACCGTGTTAGCCAGGATGGTCTCGATCTCCTGACCTCGTGATCCACCCGCCTTGGCCTCCCAAAGTGCTGGGATTACAGGTGTGAGCCACCGTGCCCGGCCCAGAGCTTCACTTTCATTAGGACTAGCATGCTGCTCCCATTTTTAACATTTTTGTCCTTTTTCTATGACTGCACCAGAGATTAAAATTGAAAATTTAAATCACAAACAAGTAATAGAGATCCTCCTTCCTGCTGAGAGAGATTGGTAAGCTACTATATTTCTGAACTTCCAAATCATTTCACATTCTAGATGTCAAGTTTCACTATGGGCCAAAAAAAAATTCTTTTTATTATTTGTTAGATGTTTGCAAAATTACTAGATCTATTTGGTCAGCTCAAGACTGGTTAAGAAAACTCAAGTAAACTAGTCACTATGACATAACCGGAAAGTGCAGTCCTCATGGGAGGTGCAAGTTTCCAGGGAGGCCAAGAGCAGAAAGACATTTATTCTATCTGTAATGGTGAGTGGGACATTCAAGAAAGACTGGGCAGATGGACTTAGTATTGGAGATGAACATTTTAAAAATGAGGCTTACTCATTTTGAGACAGGGAGAAAAAGTATTATTCCAGACTGAAACAATAGCATACGCAAAGGTACAAATGTATGATTGGGCATAAATTGTTGAAAAAATGATGAGCAACCGACATAACTGGAAACAAGCTCTACTCTAGTTTCATCGTTCTGTTTTCCCAATGACTCAGATTCTGCAGATAATTTGTATTTTTAAGAGCAATCCACTTGGTTTTCTAAGCCCTTTCTGATAGAAGGGAATAAATATGAGATGAGATTTATATTGAACACTTCCAATATCCAAGCCTTCTCATAACAGATAGATTCACAGAAGGTTCCCCTGCTCTTCCCCTTTGCCTCCAGCCCCACCCTTATCTAAATGGCTGTATTGAACACTACTGAGTTTGAGGTGTCTCCCTGTTTCTCTTTATTACATGCTTCTCTAATTTCTGGGAGTGACGCTCTGCTTGTGTCCTTCTTTGCAACCCAGATCTTCTTTAGAATCTTGGCTTTCATGTTAGATGGGTTTTTGTCAAGACAATACATATATATTATATATAATCTAACTATATATATATACATCCTGGAGAAAATAAGCACAATTATACATATTTTATATATAATATAAAAATGTATACATATAATTGTGCTTGTTTAGTATAAATACATATTTCTATTATATAATATATAATGTATAATATATAGTATATGTTATATATTTTATATGTATAATATATAGTATATGTTATACGTTTTATATGTATAATATATAGTATATGTTATACGTTTTATATGTATAATATATAGTATATGTTATACGTTTTATATGTATAATATATAGTATATGTTATACGTTTTATATGTATAATATATGTTATACGTTTTATATGTATAATATAGAATATATGTTATATGTTTTATATGTATAATATAGAATATATATGATATGTTTTATATGTATAATATATAATATATGTGATATGTTTTATATGTATAATATATAATATATGTGATATGTTTTATATGTATAATATATAATATATGTGATATGTTTTATATGTATAATATATAATATATATGTGATATGTTTTATATGTATAATATATAATATATATGTGATATGTTTTATATGTATAATATATAATATATATGTGATATGTTTTATATGTATAATATATAATATATATGTGATATGTTTTATATGTATAATATATAATATATATGTGATATGTTTTATATGTATAATATATAATATATATGTGATATGTTTTATATTATACATGTTATATGTTTTATATGTATAATATATTATACATGTTATATGTTTTATATGTATAATATATAATATATATTCTGTGTTTTATATGTATAATATATAATATATATTCTATATGTTTTATATGTATAATATATAATATATATTCTATATGTTTTATATGTATAATATATAATATATATTCTATATGTTTTATATGTATAATATTAATATATATTATATGTTTTATATGTGTAATATATAATATATATTGTATATGTTTTACATGTGTAATATATAATATATATTGTATATGTTTTACATGTGTAATATATAATATATATTGTATATGTTTTACATGTATAATATATAATATATATTGTATATGTTTTACATGTATAATATATAATATATAGTATATGTTTTACATGTATAATATATAATATATATTGTATATGTTTTACATGTATAATATATAATATATATTGTATATGTTTTACATGTATAATATATAATATATATTGTATATGTTTTACATGTATAATATATAATATATAGTATATGTTTTACATGTATAATATATAATATATATTGTATATGTTTTACATGTATAATATATAATATATATTGTATATGTTTTACATGTATAATATATAATATATTGTATGTTTTACATGTATAATATATAATATATATTGTATATGTTTTATACGTATAATATATAATATATATTGTATATGTTTTACATGTATAATATATAATATATAGTATATGTTTTACATGTATAATATATAATATATAGTAAATGTTTTACATGTATAATATATAATATATATTGTATATGTTTTACATGTATAATATATAATATATATTGTATGTTTTACATGTATAATATATAATATATTGTATATGTTTTACATGTATAATATATACTATATATTGTATATGTTTTATACATATAATATATAATATATTATATATGTTTTATACGTATAACATATAATATATATTGTATATGTTTTATACGTATAACATATAATATATATTGTATATGTTTTATACGTATAACATAATATATATTGTATATGTTTTATACGTATAACATATAATATATATTGTATATGTTTTATACGTATAACATATATTATATATTGTATATGTTTTATACGTATAACATATATTATATATTGTATATGTTTTATACGTATAACATATATATTGTATATGCTTTATACGTATAACATATATTATATATTGTATATGTTTTATACGTATAACATATATTATATATTGTATATGTTTTTACGTATAACATATATTATATATTGTATATGTTTTATATGTATAACATATATATTGTATATGTTTTATACGTATAATATATATTATATATTATATATGTTTTATATGTATATTATGTATTATATATGTTTTATATGTATAATATATTATGTATTATATGTGTTTTATATGTATATTATGTATTATATATATTTTATAGGTATAATATATTATGTATTATATATATTTTATAGGTATAATATATTATGTATTATATATATTTTATAGGTATAATATATTATGTATTATATATATTTTATAGGTATAATATATTATGTATTATATATATTTTATAGGTATAATATATTATGTATTATATATATTTTATATGTATATTATGTATTATATGTTTATATGCATAATATATAATATATATTATATATATTTATATGTATAATATATATTTATATATATATTCCTTTAGAGCTCAGGGCATTTCAAATAATCTCAATAAATCTTTTTCTTGTATCTCAGTGGTCAATCAATAAAATGATACCTCTTAAAAACTGTCCTGGGTTTTATTTGCAGCCGGATCAGTGGTAGATTGGAACTATTGCCTTTCACAGTGAGACAATATGTCACAGCTGGCAGCACTCCTAGATGCAGGGTACCTGCCTCCCTTGCAATCTGTGTCATGTTGATCTGAGGCCTGTTCTTGAACTTGGAGCTTTAATTTCGACTGTTTGTCCATAGATGTGAAAAATAAGACGTGTAAGCATTCTCCCAAGAGATATAAATAGAAATTCCATATAGAAAATGCGATTTGCTGTCTCAGTTTTACCCTGGACTTTCCTATATTCCCTAATTGCGCACATCAATGTGGCCTTACTTACAGGTTCAGCTCCATCTGAATTTTTGGTCCTAGTGTAAAGAATATCAAGGGCTGGTGAAGACAACAAGAACATATATATCATCTCAAAGTTATAGTATCTCTTACCATGGCTGAAACACACATAAAAGATAGTAAAAACAAAAAACAACCTTCTAACTGTTGAAGCTACTATATCCTAGTGCTGCATATATTCACAGTGAATTCTTATATGATACAGAGAAGACTGTGCTATTATCTTCATGTAAAGAAAATACATGTATCTTTGTCCATGTGGGTTGCTATAACAAACCCTTTAAGCTGGGTAATTTATAAGGGCACTAATCCCACTCAGGAGGGCTCTGCCCTCCGGAACTAATCTCCTTTCAAAGCCCCACGTCCTAATACCATCACTTTGGTGATTAGGTTTCAACATAGGAATTCTGAGGGGACACAAACATTTAGAGAATAGGACCATGATAAATTAATTAAAGCTTAGTGGGATTAGGAAAATACCAGTTCATATCACCAGTAAGAAAGATGTAAGGATTGAAATCTGAGTCTGATTCCAAGTGTGGATTTCTCCCCAATAGAAAATTCTGCCCCATGACTCAGAATCCTCTTTAACTTGACCAAGTTCAAAGAAAGTGGTGCTTCTCTGAAAAGGAGGATAGTAGAGCTCTTGCTCTCCAACATGAGTAGAGCTTTGCCAAAAACATGGCACATGCATCCTGTAGATCATTATAAGCTAGACATTGTTTTTCCCCGTTTATAGATAAAAAAGCTGAGGCTCAGAGAACTTAAGAAAGTCCCAGTGAATTACATTAAGTGTAGGTTCCTGAATTTCATAAACTATTTGATTCTAGTGTTATTCTACTTCCATTCCACTTCACTGAACTTCATCAGGGATGTGTTATTATTAAAGATTTTTGAAGAGTTTTTTTTGTTACTTGATCTGATTTATTTTTATTTTTGCCAGAAAGTAGCAAATTGACTAAATTCAAGGACATTTTTGCCATCTCCAAAACACAGCCTAGAAAATCTAGGCCATACTCAGATTGCTTTCCTCAGAGGACAGAAGTCTTACAACCCATTACTAACACAATCACAGTGGGAGACGTTTGTAGCTTTAAGTGTAAGGAAGGGTAATTAAAACGTTGTTGGGTATGCATTTTTTTTTCATTTCCCAGAGTTTGTTATATACATACTGTGCCATGAGCATCTTCTGTTGCCCTGCAGGATATATGAACATCCTAATTTGTTAGGGCTGTGATTTTGCTTGGAATTTTGATGAACTGCTTTAGAACCTTTGAGCTCTGTACTCTGTTTGAGGGCTATGGGCACAGCTCCCCCATGCATTCACAGCCAACCCACAGCGCTTATGACCAGTGACAGCTCATTTTTATTCAGCTCTTCTCTGATTCTTCACAAAACTCTAAAACAACTGAGGCCTTTAGTTATTCAGGCCCCGAGTTTTGTTCTATTTTCCAAATGTAAGTGTTTGCTGTGGACTGAATTGCGTCTCCCTTCATATGTTGAAGTGTAAAATCCCAATGTAACTGTATTGCAAGTTAGAGATTTTATGGTCATCATTAAAATTAAATAAGGTCATAGGGTAGGGCCCTAATCCTATACGACTGGTGTTTTTATAAGAAGAGAAAGAGACACTAGCGCTTGCTCTCTCTCCACACTGACACAGAAAAAAGGCCGTAAGAGGATAGAGTAAGAACGTGGCTACCTACAAACTGGAAGGAAAACCCTCATCAGAAGTTTAATTTATCAGAACCTTAATCTTGGATGTCAAGCCTCTTGAACCATGAGAAAATGCATTTCTGTTGCTTAAACCACTGAGTCAGTGGTATTTTGTTTTGGCAGCTGATGTAAAGTAATTCAGCATCTATATCCTTTTCTAATAAAGAACCATTTTTTACTCCCTCATTAGTAATAACTCTTTACTGTATATGACAGCATGTTTTCACTTCTTAATGTTCCAGCTCAGCGTCCCCTCCTCTAAGAGGCCTTGCTGTTCTTCCTGGGCTGGGTGACTTGGCCTTCTATGTGTTCTCTGCAAAGCTTGGCACAGAGTCTTTCCAGTCACCACCATGGACAGTGGTTGGAGTAATTGGTTTTCACATATTTATCCCCCATTAAACTATGACTTCTCGTAGGTGCAGACAAGATTTTGCTCCTTTTCAAATCCCCAAAGTAAAAACAAACAAACGAACAAACAAAAACATTATTTGGCACATTACAGCACTCAGTACATTTGAACAAATAAATGAATTTACATTTTTGCTTTGAATCCGCATAATAAGAAATGTTGCATGTAAACATTAAAGATAATTTTTAAAAAAACCTAATTCATAGAAGAGATTAGATATTACTTGCTGAAGACCACAGAAAATAAATACTTACATGGATAATGTAAGCCAGGACTATAGACTTTAACCCCTTGTCCTTTTTCTGCTCTTTCATTGTGAGTTGTGTTGAATAAAATTTCTGAAACTCATTCATACTATGCTGTAAATGATTCACAAACACCGTGTGAGGGTGGTTACTTGGTAGTTGGGTGCAGGAATAACAGCACTAACTGCAATAAAATCACATAAAAATTAGCTTTTTTTACAACTGTAAAATATTGATAATAATACCACCTCTGCATAGCTCAAAAGTGTGTTGTATGAACAACTGACATAAATAATATAAAAATAGTTTTATTTTCTTTTTTCTGAATATGTCAGGCAACTATAAAATGTAAAATTGTAGGAGTTACTTTTAGATGATCTCTAAGCCTCTTCTGCGTGGAAAATTCTAAGATACAGTTACTTTCTAAAACATAATTGTTGATATACCTGAAATGTTTAATATGTTTTATCCTTAAGAAAGGTGAAATAATTTCAAGCATTGCTCTAAGATCTACTTTAAAATCACTGTATTTGTTAAATCCCTGAGAGATTTTCCACTACCCCCAGACACGGTCTAAGTTCAATATCATAGCACACAGCCTTCATGGTTCAGCAGTCACGTGAATCTAAACTATATCTCCCAAAAGACTTTTCACCCATCACTTAGTTTATACTTTAGCACTACTCAAGCTCTGGGAGAGGCACGCGACACACCATGCTATTCTATGACAAATTTACACAAGAATTCTCACTTCTCCATAATATCTAACACAGATAGATATTATACCTAGAACACAGATGGTTTTATTGGGAGTTTAATTCATTCTTTATGTCTCATTTCAAATATTACTATTTAGGAGAATCAAGAATTTCTCCCTCTGCAAGTCATACATATTACTATTTTAATACTTATTTTATCTTATTTATTCATGTATTTATTTTGGGACAGTCTCCCTCTGTCACCCAGACTGGAGTGCAGGGGCACGATCTCTGCTCACTGCAACCTCTGCCTCCCGGATTCAGACGATTCCCCTGCCTCAGCCTCCAGAGTAGCTGGGACTACAGGCATGAGCCACTATGCTTGGCTAATTTTTTGTATTTTTAGTAGAGATGGGCTTCCATGGTGTTGGCCAGGATGGTCTCAATCTCCTGACCTCGTGATCTGCCAGCCTCGGCCTCCAAAAGTGCTGGGATTACAGGCATCAGCCGCTGCACCCAGCCTTGTAATACTTATCTTATAGTTTTATATCTGTCTTTTTATTTTCCTGCCACCCATTGCATATTTATCTAGATCAGGGCTTCCTTGCCTTAGCCTTGTTGTGGTGGACTGTCGTGTGCTTTGGAGGATTTTTTAATAGCATCCTTGACTTACCCCCTAAATGCTGGTAGCATACTTAGTCCTGACAAATAAAAAACATCTACGGATTTTTCCGGTGCTCTTCTAGAAGCAAAACCACCCCAGTTGAGAAGCACTGAGTTAGAGGCTGAGAGATTTTGTCACCACTAGGTCTGCCCTACAAGAGCTCCTGAAGGAAGCACTAAACATGGAAAGGAACAACCAGTACCAGCCACTGCAAAAACATGCCAAATTGTAAAGACCATCGATGCTGGGAAGAAACTGCATCAACTAACGAGCAAAATAACCAGCTAACATCATAACGACTGGATCAAATTCATACATAACAATATTAACCTTAAATGTAAATGGGCTAAATGCTCCAATTAAAAGACACAGACTGGCAAATTGGATAGAGTCAAGACCCATCAGTGTGCTGTACTCAGGAAACCCATCTCACGTGCAGAGACACACATAGGCTCAAAATAAAGGGATGGAGGAAGATTTACCAAGCAAGTGGAAAACAAAAAAAGGCATGGGTTGCAATCCTAGTCTCTGATAAAACAGACTTTAAACCAACAAAGATCAAAAGAGACAAGGCCATTACATAATGGTAGAGGGATCAATTCAACAAGAAGAGCTAACTATCCTAAATATATATGCACCCAATACAGGAGCACCCAGATTTGTAAAGCAAGTCCTTAGAGAACTACAAAGAGACTTAGACTTCCACACAATAATAATGGGAGACTTTAACACTCCACTTTCAACATTAGACAAATCAACAAGACAGAAAGTTAACAAGGATATCCAGGAATTGAATTCAGCTCTGCACCAAGAGGACCTAATAGACATCTACAGAACTCTCCACCCCAAATCAACAGAATATACATTCTTCTCAGCACCACACTGCACCTATTCCAAAACTGACCACATAGTTGGAAGTACAGCACTCCTCAGCAAATGAAAAAGAACGGAAATTATAACAAACTGTCTCTCAGACCACAGTGCAATCCAACTAGAACTCAGGATTAAGAAACTCACTCAAAACCGCTCAACTACATGGAAACTGAACAACCTGCTCCTGAATGACTACTGGGTACATAACGAAATGAAGGCAGAAATAAAGATGTTCTTTGAAACCAATGAGAACAAAGACACAACATACCAGAATCTCTGGGACACATTTAAAGTAGTTTGTAGCGGGAAATTTATAGCACTAAATGCCCACAAGAGAGAGCAGGAAAGATCGAAAATTGACACCCTAACATCACAATTAAAAAAACTAGAGAAGCAAGAGCAAACACATTCAAAAGCTAGCAGAAGGCGGGAAGTAACTAAGATCAGAGCAGAACTGAAGGAGGTAGAGACACAAAAAACCCTTCAAAAAATCAATGAATCCAGGAGCTCGCTTTTTTGAAAAGATCAACAAAATTGATAGACCTCTAGCAAGACTAATAAAGAAGAAAAGAGAGAAGAATCAAATAGATGCAATAAAAAATGATAAAGGGGATATCACCACTGATCCCACAGAAAAACAAACTACCATCAGAGAATACTATAAATACCTCTATGCAAATAAACTAGAAAATGTAGAAGAAAAGGATAAATTCCTCGACACAGACACCCTCCCAAGACTAAACCAGGAAGAAGTTGAATCTCTTAATAGACCAATAACAGGCTCTGAAATTGAGGCAATAATTAATAGCTTACCAACCAAAAAAAGTCCAGGACCAGATGGATTCACAGCCGAATTCTACCAGAGGTACAAGGAGGAGCTGGTACCATTCTTTCTGAAACTATTCCAATCAATAGGAAAAGAGGAAATCCTCCCTAACTCATTTTATGAGGCCAGCATCATCCTGATACCAAAGCCTGGCAGAGACACAACAACAAAAGAGAATTTTAGACCAATATCCCTGATGAACATCAATGCAAAAATCCTCAATAAAATACTGGCAAACCAAATCCAGCAGCACATCAAAAAGCTTATACCTAATGCTAGATGACACGTTAGTGGGTGCAGCGCACCAGCATGGCACATGTATACATATGTAACTAACCTGCACAATGTGCACATGTACCCTAAAACTTAGAGTATAATAAAAAAAAAAAAAAATTAAAAAAAAAATTAAAAAAAAAAAAAAAAAAAAAGAAGCTTATTCACCATGATCAAGTAGGCTTCATCCCTGGGATGCAAGTCTGGTTCAACATACGCAAATCAATAAATGTAATCCAGCATATAAACAGAACTAAAGACAAAAACCACATGATTATCTCAATAGATGCAGAAAATACTTTTGACAAAATTCAACAGCCCTTCATGCTAAAAACTCTCAATAAATTAGGTATTGATGGGACGTATCTCAAAATAATAAGAGCTATTTATGACAAACCCACAGCCAATATCATACTGAATGGGCAAAAACTGGAAGCATTCCCTTTGAAAACTGGCACAAGACAGGGATGCTCTCTCTCACCACTCCTATTCAACATAGTGTTGGAAGTTCTGGCCAGGGCAATCAGGCAAGAGAAAGAAATAAAGGGTATTTAATTAGGAAAAGAGGAAGTCAAATTGTCCCTGTTTGCAGATGACATGATTGTATATCTAGAAATCCCCATTGTCTCAGCCGAAAATCTCCTTAAGCTGATAAGCAACTTCAGCAAAGTCTCAGGATACAAAAATCAATATGCAAAAATCACAAGCATTCTTATACACCAATAACAGACAAACAGAGAGCCAAATCATGAGTGAACTCCCATTCACAATTGTTTCAAAGAGAATAAAATACTTAGGAATCCAACTTACAAGTGATGTGAAGGACGTCTTCAAGGAGATCTACAAACCACTGCTCAATGAAATAAAAGAGGATACAAACAAATTGAAGAATATTCCATGCTCATGGATAGGAATAATCAATATCATGAAAATGGCCATACTGCACAAGGTAATTTATAGATTCAATGCCATCCCCATCAAGCTACCAATGACTTTCTTCACAGAACTGGAAAAAACTACTTTAAATTTCATATGGAACCGAAAAAGAGCCTGCATTGCCAAGTCAATCCTAAGCCAAAAGAACAAAGCTGGAGGCATCACGATACCTGACTTCAAACTGTACTACAAGGGTACAGTAACCAAAACAGCATGGCACTGGTACCAAAACAGAGATATAGACCAATGGAATAGAACAGAGCCCTCAGAAATAATACCACACATCTACAACTATCTGATCTTTGACAAACCTGACAAAAACAAGAAATGGGGAAAGGATTCCCTATATAACAAATGGTGCTGGGAAAACTGGCTAGCCATATGGAGAAAGCTGAAACTGGATCCCTTCCTTACACCTTATACAAAAATTAATTCAAGATGGATTAAAGACTTAAATGTTAGACCTAAAATCATAAAAACCCTAGAAGAAAACGTAGGCAATACCATTTAGGACACAGGCATGGGCAAGGACTTCATGTCTAAAACACCAAAAGCAATGGCAACAAAAGCCAAAATTGACAAATGGAATCTAATTAAACTAAAGAGCTTCTGCACAGCAAGAGAAACTACCATCATAGTCAACAGGCAACCTACAGAATGGGAGAAAATTTTTGCAATCTACTTATCTGACAAAGGGCTAATATCCAGAAGCTACAAAGAACTCAAATTTACAAGAAAAAAACAAACAACCCCGTCAAAAAGTGGACAAAGGATATGAACAGACACTTCTCAAAAGAAGACGTTTATGCAGCCAAAAGTCACATGAAAAAATGCTCATCATCACTAGCCATTAGAGAAATGCAAATCAAAACCACAGTGAGATACCATCTCACACCAATTAGAATGGCGATCATTAAAAAGTCAGGAAACAACAGGTGCTGGATAGGATGTGGAGAAATAGGAACACTTTTACACTGTTGGTGGGACTGTAAACTAGTTCAACCATTGTGGAAGTCAGTGTGGCGATTCCTCAGGGATCTAGAACAAGAAATACCATTTGACCCAGCCATCCCATTACTGGGTATATACCTAAAGGATTATAAATCATGCTGCTATAAAGACACATGCACACGTATGTTTATTGTGGCACTATTCACGATAGCAAAGACTTGGAACCAACCCAAATGTCCAACAATGATAGACTGGATTAGGAAAATGTGGCACATATACACCATGGAATTCTATGCAGCCATAAAAAATGATGAGTTCATGTCCTTTGTAGGGACATGGATGAAGCTGGAAACCATCATTCTCAGCAAACTATCGCAAGGACAAAAAACCAAGCACCGCATGTTCTCACTCACAGGTGGGAATTGAACAATGAAAACACATGGTCACAGGAAGGGGAACATCACACACCTGTTGTAGGGTGTTGTTGTTGTAGGGTGAGGGGATGTTGTAGGGTGAGGGCCTGTTGTAGGGTGAGGGGATGGGGGAGGGATAGCATTAGGAGATATACCTAATGTAAATGATGAGTTAATGGGTACGGCACACCAACATGGCACATGTATACATATGTAACAAACCTGCACGTTGTGCACATGTACCCTAGAACTTAAAGTATAATTTTATATATATATATATACACACACATATATATGTGTATATATATATACATATATATGTGTATATATGTGTGTGTGTATATATATATATATATATGTATATATATATATAAAGAGAAGCAGTGAGTTAGAGGCATCTATAGACAGGCATAAGCACTCAAACACACCATTACAGAGGGGTGTGATAGGCTAAATAATGCCCTCCAACCAAAAAATGTTCATGTCTTTATGCTGAGAAACAGTGCCTATTTTACTTTACATGTCAAAAGAAAACTTTACAGATGTGGTAAGGATCACTGGAGCACTCAGACTCATGAAACAAATATTAGTAGACCTAAAGAGAGAGATAGACAGCAATACAGTCATATTGAGGAACTTCAACACCTGACTCACAGCATTAGACACATTGTCTACACAGAAAATTAACAAGAAGACATTGGACCTGGCTGGGTTTGGTGCCTCACACCCATAATTCCAGCACTTTGGGAGGCCAAGGTTGGTGGATCACTTGAGGCCAGTAGTTCAAAACCAGCCTGGCCAACATGGCAGAACACTGTCTCTACTAAAAATACAAAAAAAAAAAAAAAAAAAATTAGCTGGGTGTGGTGGTGTGCACCTGTAATCCCAGCTACTCTGGTGGCTGAGGCACGAGAATCTCTTGAATCCAGGAGGCATTAGGTTAAAGTGAGATGAGACTGTGCCACTGCACTCCAGCTTGGGTGACAGAGTAAGACTCCATCTGAAAAAAAAAAAAAGTAGAAGAAGAAGAAGAAACATTGGCTCTAAATTGGACTTTAAACAAAATGGACCTAACAGACATTTACAGAACACACTAACAATTGCAGAATATACATTCTTTTCATCAGCACATGTAACATTCTCCAAGATAGGCCATATGCTAGGCAACAAAACAAATCTCAATAAATTTTTTAAAAATTGAAATCATATTAAGTATCTTCGCAGAGCATAACATAATTAAACTAGAAATCAATACCAAAAAATGCTTTTGAAGCTATACAAATACATGGAAATTAAACAACATGCTACCGCATGACCATTGGATTAAAAACACTAGTTAAGATGGAAATGGAAAAAAAAAGGACAAATGAAAACACAATATACTAAAACCTGTGGGATACAGCAAAAGCAGTTATAAGAGGGAAGATTATAGCATTAAATGCTTACATCAAAAAACAAAAAAGGTTACAAAGTCAACATACCTCAGGGAATTAGAAAAGCAAGAAAAGACCAAGCCCCAAATTAGCAGAAGAAAAAAAAATGGAAGCAGAACTAAATGAAATTAAAAATAAGAAAACAATAAAAAGGATTAACAAGACAAAAAGTTGGTTCTTTGAAAAGATAAACAAAGTTGATACAATGCTAGCTCTTACAACCAAAAAGTGAGAAGACCCAAGGAAGCAAAATCAGAAATGAAAAAGGACACATTAAACTGATTATCACAGAAATTCAAAAGATCATCAGACTATTTTGAACAACTATATGCTTACGAACTAAAAAACCTAGAGGAAATGGATAAATTTCTGGAGAGATACAACCTTCCAAGATTGAACCAAGAAGAAATAGAAAGCCTGAACAGACCAATAATGAGTAGCAAGATTGAATCAGTAACAAAAAATCTCCTAACAAGGAAAAGCCCGGGAACAGAGGAATTCACAGCTGAATTTTACCAAACATACAAAAAAGAACTAATAACAATTATCCTGAAACTGTTCCAAAAAATCGAGGAGATATGTCTACCTAACTTGTTCTACAAGGCCATTATCACCCTGATATCAAACCACACACACACACACACACACACAAACAACAAAAAGAGAAAACTACAAACCAGTATCTCTAATGAACATAAACACAAAAATCTTTAGCAAAATACTGGCAAACTGAATCCAACAGCAGATCAGAAAGATAATCCACAATGATCAAGTGGGTTTTATACTAGAAATGCACAAATGGTTCAACCTATGTAAATCAATAAATGTGATGTATCACATAAATAGAAGAATCAGGTACAAAAAATGATATTTTCTCAATGGATGCAGAAAAAAGGATTTGATAAAAGTCTGTATCACTTTATGATAAAAACCCTCAAGAAACTAGGCATAGCATAGAAGAAACATACCTCAAAATAATGAAGGCCATATATGAAAAACCCACAGCTCATATTATACTGAATGGGGAAAATTTCAAAGTATTTCCTCTAAGAACTGAAACAAGACAAGGATGCCCACTCTCACTAATTGTATTCAACATATACTGATAGACCTTGTCAGGGCAATCAGGCAAGAGAAAGAAATAAAAGATATCTAAATTGGAAAAGAGGGAGTAAAGTATTCCTGTTTGCCGGTGACATGATTTTATATTTATAAAATCTTAAAGACTCCATCAAAAAAACCTCTTAGATTTAATAAAGGAATTTAGTAAAGTTGCAGAATGCAAAATTAACGTACAAAAATTAGTCACATTTCTATACACCAATAATGTTCAAGAAGGCAATCTCATTTACAATAGCTACCAAAAAAAAATCCAGAGATTAATTTAACCAAGGAGGTGAAGGATCTCTGTAAGAAAAAACTACAAAACACTGATAAAAGAAATTATAGATAACAAAAACAAATGAAAAAAATCCCATGATTATGAATCAAAATATTTATATTGTTAAAATGGCCATACTGCCCAAAGCGATGTACAGGTTCAATGCAAACTTGACCAACATACCAGCGTTATTTTGCACAGAATTAGAAAGCACAAGCCTAAAATTCACATGGAATCATAAAAGAGCCTGGATACTAAAGCAATCCTGAGCAAAAAGAATAAAGCTGAAGACCTCCCATTTTCTGACTTCAAATAATATTATAAATGTATGGTGACCAAAACAGCATGGTAGCGTTATAAAAATAAACAGATCAATGGAACAGAATAAAGAATCCAGAAAGAAAGCCATATATTTATGTACAGCCAACTGACCTTTGGCAAAGCTGACAAGAACTTATATTGGGGAAAGGACATCCTTTTCAAAAAAATGATGCTGGGAAAATGGGATTACTATATGCAAAAGAATGAAACTGGATCCCTATTTCTTACCACATATAAAAAATCAACTCTAGATAGATTAAAGACTTAAACTACGACTCTAAACTACAAAAATATTAGAAGAAAACGCAGGGGAAACTCTTCTCGACATTGGTTTTGGCAAAGAATTTATGACTAAGACCCCAAAAGCAGAAGCAATGAAACCAAAAATACCCAAATGAGACTTAATTACCTGAAAAGCTTCCACATTGCAAAAGAAACAACAGAGTAAACAGACCAGTAGAATGGGAGAAAATATTTGTAAACTATTCATCTGACAGGTGGCTAATATCCAGAATACATACAAAACTCAAGCAACTTAACAACCACAACAAAGACAATCCCTTTAAAAACTGGGCAAGGGACATTAATAGACACGTTTCAAAAGAAGACATACAAATAACTAATAGATACATAAAAAAATGCTCAGCATCACTAATTAGAGAAATGAAAATTAAAACTACAAGGAGATATCATTGTACAACTGTCAGAATGGCCATTATTAAAAAGACAAAAATAAATAACAGATGCTGATGAGGATGTGAAGAAAAGGGAACCTTTTTTTTTTTTTTCTGGAAGAGTATTTCACTCTGTCACCCAGGCTGGAGTGCAGTGGGATGCTCAAGGCTTAGCACAGCCTCGACTTCTTGGGTTCAAGCAATCCTCCTGCCTCAGCCTCCCAAGTAGTTGAGACTACAGTTGTGCACCACCATGCACAGTTAATTTTTCCTTTTGTTTGTTTGTTTGTTTTGTAGAGAAATGGTCTCATTATGTTGCCTAGGCTGGTCTTGAACTCCTGTGCTCAAGTGACCCTCCCACCTTAGCCTCTCAAGTGTTGGGGTTGCACATGTAAGCCACTGAGCCTGGCCCCAGGAACTCTTATACATTGTTGATGGAAATACAAGTTAGTAAAACTTCTATGAAAAACAGCATGGAGATTTCTCAAAATAACTTAAAAATAGAATTATCATCTGATCCAGCAATCCCAGTACTGGGTATCTACCCAAAGGAAAATACATTAATATATCAAAAAGATAAATTCACTTGTATGTTTATCATAGCACTATTCATAATAGCAAAGACATGGAATCAATTGAAGCATCAATCAACAGATTAATGGATAGAAAATATGATATATATATATATATAAACAATGGAATACTAGTCATCTGTAAAAAAGAATGAAATCCCATCTTTTGCAGCAACATGGACAGAGCTTGTGGTTATTATTTTAAGTGAAACAAACCATGTACAGAAAGTCGAATATCATATATTCTCATTCATAAGTAGGTGCTAAAAATGTGTACACATTGACATAGAGAGTGGAATGATAGACAAGGGAGACTCAGAAGGGTGCAGGGGTTGGAGGGGGTTGATGAGAAGTTAGTTAATAGGTACAGTGTATATTATTTGGGTTATGGATATCTTAACCCTGACTCTTGACCACTACACAATCCATGCATGTAACAAAATTGCACATGTACCCCAAAACTTTGTACAAATAAAAGTAAAATAAAAGCATCTTGAGAGGGAAGATTATCCTGGATTATCTGATGTGTCTTATGTAACCAAGACTTCTTAGAGAAAGACTAGAAAGTTAAAGGCAGAAGGAGATAATATCAAGGAAACAGGTTGAAATTAAGCTCTTTGAAGACGGAGAAAGTGCCTATGAACTAAGGAATGCTGGTGGCTTCTAGAAGTTAGGAAAGGCAAGGAAATGGCTTGTTTTTTACAGCCTGCAGAAGGAATGCTTTGCTGATGACTCTATGCTATTAGCTCACTGAAATTGATTTTAGATTTATAATCTCTGAAAGGGCTAACATGTAGGTATAATCATCAAATGTTACGTGATGTCCTAATTATGCTGCACACCTGTCATTGAGCTCTCTAGGAGAGCAGTCTCCTTGATTGTGTCCACTTGCCCTTGAATTCATCCCAACTTCTAACATGACACATGGCCAAGCGTCGGTGCTTCAACATATTTGTTGGATGGATAAATGACTATCAATGAACATGGTACCTAATATATTGCAGTGTTCAAAAACATAGAGCTGAGCTCCCACATATCAGTGAGAACATAAAAGGACGCAAAGGCATAAGAATGATACAATGGACTTTGGGGACTTGGGGGGAAGAGTGGGATGGGAGAGAGGGATAAAAGACAACAAATATGGTGCAGTGTTTACTGCTTAGGTAATGGGTGCATCAGGTTCTTACAAATCTCCACTAAAGAACTTACTCATGTAATTAAATACCATCGGTACCTCAATACCTTATGGAAAAATATTTTTTTTTAAAAAAAGAAACATCTTAAAGGATCTTAAAAGAATATAGAGAGCTGAGAACATTACACACTCAAATTAAACAAATAATCAAAACAGTTTAATTATGTTTAACATTTTTAGGTCAAATAACTCATCTCATTCCATTGTTTTTATAGGTAAGGTATAAAAATAATAAAATACAGGAATTCTAAAGCCAATCAAAAATGGGTTTGAAACATGGATCAGTTATTCACTAACTGGAATATTTTGCCATATCACCAGATCTGTCTGAGCCTCAATTTTCACATCTATAGTAAAGAGATAAAATACTTAGGGGAGCATCTTGTACTACCCTGAAGTAAGTGCCAAATTAAAAAAAAAAAAACAAAAAACACCCACACTCAAATAGACGGTAACTCATATCAAAAGGACACAGGAGGTGAAGGAAAGACTCCCAGGGGCCATAGCTGTAACAATTTCAGCACCAAAACAAAGTGTACTGAATTATAACCCCAAAAATAAAATAAATGTCTATGAGTCTGTTCTGGTATAAATAAGTGATTGAATAAATAAGTAAAGGAGGAAAATAGACAAATCTCCCATGCAGAAGGAATCCAAATAATTTTACCAGACGCTTTATCCTCAAGGAGAGGGACCATAACTATATGTGGGTTGCCCATAGTAACTTCCTTCCAAGGAATAACAGTATGAATGGGGGAGGAAAATGTAACTTACAGTGGAAAACCACACAGAAAATACCTCAACTCTATGATGAAGATTAACATCAACAATAAGAAGTCATGCTGATAATCTGACTTCATATGATGTGATGGAAATGACACTACTCCAGTCATACTTCCCAAAATCCATAACCCTAGTCTAATTACGAGAAAATGACCAGAAACATCACGATCGAAATAGAGTATACGAAACACTCAACGAATATTCCTCAGAAATGTCAAGGTCATTACAAATATGGAAATTCTAAAAAGCTTACAGTGAAAGAGAAGCTTTAAGAGAAGCAGCAACAACATAATGTCATATTGAGTCCTGGAATGTAATATGGATGGAGTTCTGGAAGAGAAAATGAACATTAGGTTAAAACTAAGAAAATAGCCTGGGCGCGGTGGCTCATGCCTGTAATCCCAGCACTTTGGGAGGCCGAGGCGGGCGGATCACGAGGTGAGAGTGCGAGACCAGCCTGGCTAATATGGTAAAACCCAATCTCTACTAAAAATACAAAAATTATCTGGGCATGATGGCACGTGCCTGTAGTCCCAGCTACTCTGGAGGCTGAGGGTGAAAAATCTCCTGAACCCGGGAGGCGGAGGTTGCGGTGAGCCAAGATCGTGCCACTGCCCTCCAGCCTGGGCACCAGAGTGAGAGTCTGTCTCAAAAAAAAAAAAAAAAAAAAAAAAAAAAAAAAAAAAAAGAAAAGAAAAAAGGAAAGGCCGGGCATGGTGGCTCACGCCTGTAATCCCAGCACTTTGGGAGGCCGAGACGGGTGGATTATGAGATCAGGAGATCGAGACCATCCTGGCTAACACGGTGAAACCTCGTCTCTACTAAAAATACAAAAAATTAGCCGGGCGCGGTGGCGGGCGCCTGTAGTCCCAGCTACTCTGGAGGCTGAGGCAGGAGAATGGCGTGAACCTGGGAGTGGAGCTTGCAGTGAGCCGAGATCGCGCCACTGCACTCCAGTCTGGGCTACAGAGCGAGACTCCATCTCAAAAAAAAAAAAAAGTGTGAGTTTAGAAGACAGTAATGTACTTGTGTTGGTTTATTAATTGCAATAAATGCACCTTACTAAAGTAAGATGTTAGTATTGAGGGGATCCGCGTGCAGAGTATATGGGAGCTTTCTCTATGAAGTTCACAGTTATTCTGTAAATTTAATTTTTTTCTAAATAAAAAGTTGTGTGTTTTTTTGTTTGTTTTTATGAGACCTGACAAAGAACAATAAAATGAAGTTTCAGAGTGCCAGTTAAATAGGGCTAAGCAAAAGTTTGCACTGATAACAATTGGGATATAGTAAATGCCCGGTAAGTTTCTTGGTATCATTTGGTGGTGACAGAGGGGCATGCCTCTTGGGTGTGAATGGTGAGCTCCTTGAAGGTAGGAATGGCAAGCAATTCCATCTGTCCTCTCATTCCCAGAGCAACAAGAATGGGTTTTCTTCAACTATATAAATGTAATTTCTAGTTCTGTTGTCTTTAAAATAAGTGGACCTATTTATATGCCACATCTTTTATTTAAACTTTGATGATGCTTTGCTACCTGTCAGAGCATAGCTGATACATGGATCTTCCCACTGCACCTTCATGTAGGACGATTTAGGCTTTCATTCTGCAATTCTGTCATTTATGCTTTCCTTTTTTCTATTTTGTACTCACTGCATCTCTGGGACTGTATCATAGTGGATTGTATTTGTAACAGGCCTAACTCCCCCACTAGACTTTGAGGCCTTCGTGGACAAGGATTATGCAGTATTTATATCTTTTATAAATCAAAATCTTAGTGTGATATTTGATACATAGCCTATTCAATGATGAATGAAAGAATGGTTATTTGAAGGGAGGAAATGATTAAACAGATGAAATAAACTGACAACCAAAATGAAGAATGCATTTGTGGGTGTGTTATTACTTCAAACTCTACCACTATAAGCCCTAAAGAAACATGCAGAGTATGAAGCATTTTAGCTCCCTGCAGATGGATCCTAAAAGCTTTCAGGTGACACTGCCTGGGTTGTCAGAGAATGACTTGCCAAATCAAAAGAGACATCTTCTGTTGGAATTCTTGAGTTAGCACATGGATAAAAAAATTCCATTTAAATTCTCTCCGCTCTTCTTATCCTTTGCAGAGGCATCCTTAATTTTAGAGCTGAAAATGTAGGAATCAAATCCCTGGGTCACTGATAAGCATTAAATAATATTAACAACTAATATCTTTTTTAACGTTTAGTTAAAAATCACACAAAAAATGTATACCACAAAATTTTTACTACCTATGGAATCAAAGAATTTCAAAGCTGGTAGGTGATGTTAATTTGTTCAAGTTATTGTATTTGAGTCAAATTATAAAGCAAATCTTCTCATTTGGTTAGTATACCACCACACTGACTCTAGAAGCCTCTGGTCTCTCAAAGCTCTTTGAAGACAAGGCTACGAATTGGTCCTTTGAGATATTCAGTATCTTTGATACTACTTGGAATACTCTTTCAGGCACTATAGTGCCGTTACAAATTACAGTAAGGACACTCATAATCTATTCCACTCCTGTCAGTGACAGGCATTGTGTTAAATGACATATACATTATTTATTTTGAGGCTCACAACAATTTGATATAAGTTTTCTTGTTGCCACTTGATAGAAAAAGAAACTGAATCAGCAATATTAAGTGACCTAATCAAATTACACAGCTAATAAGAGGAGAATCAGAGTTTGCTGAGGAATTGTGACTCCAGAACTTTTAATTTCATATTTACAAAATCTCTTGAATCTACACAAGTTCCATTTTTATATATGTTGCACACAGGCAGATATTTCTATTTGCAGACAATGGGGCAATTTAAACAGTTCACCACTCAAGTTTTACTCTATACATTTGCATTAACACATTTACTAAATCTGCCCACTGACAAATGACATCATATAATGAAAGATCTAAGATATCAGGGAAATCACTCAGCACAACTGAACCAGTTTACAAAGGGAGAAAGCAAGACTCTGAGAGAGGATGAGATGCATGTACAATATCATCTCTCCCTAATGGTTTGTGGAGTTGGGAAAAGCTGGGGAAGACGATGTATTGCTTGGTGGTTGCAGAAATGTGCTAGGGCTGCCATAACAAAGCCTCACAAACTGGGCAGCTCAAACTACAGAAATTTATTTTCTCACTATTATGGAGGCTAAAAGTCCAAGATAAAGCTGTGAGTGGTGCTAGTTCTTTCTGAGGTCCATGAAAAGAGGATCTGTTTTAGGTATTTCCTCTTGGCTTGTAAATGGACAATTTCCCCTATGTCTTTACATCCTCTTATCTTTGTATATGTCTGTGTCTGTATTTTCTCTCCTCATAAGGACACTAATAATGTTGGATTAGGGTCTACCCCAGTGATTCATGTTAATTAATTACCACTGTAAAGGCCCTTTCTCCAAATACAGTCACATTCTTAGATAGCAGAGGTTAGGACTTCAGCATATGAATTAGGTGGAGGTGGATGGGGGCAACAATTCAGGCCCTAACAGTGTTTTTTTCAAGCACCACAAGGTTAAACAAGTAGAACTTTGAATTTATGGGGCTTCGATTCCTTCAGAAAAGTAAAAACTAATCCACAAGTTAACATAAATATTCAAAGAACCCTACATTTTTTTTTTACAAAGCAAGAGGATGAGTTGTCAGGTACCACATCTCAGAAGTCACAGAAAATTGGAAAAATACATGTTTTGAAGATAGAAATTCACTGAAAATTTAAATTCTTTCCTTCTCCATAACTCCCTTCTGAGCCACTTTCACCTTTTCTTCTTTCAGTGTCTAGGACACTTTTAGTGTTTTACACTCATTTTAGAGCTCATTGAAATACCCTTTCTATTGGTCCATCACTTATGCATGCAGGTTTCTCCCCACAGTGAAACTCAGAACTCCTTATGACGCTTGAACCATGTCTTTTTTTTTTTAAATTATACTTTAAGTTATAGGGTACATGTGCACAACGTGCAAGTTTGTTACATATGTATATATGTGCCATGTTGGTGTGCTGCACCCAGTAACTCATCATTTAACATTAGGTATATCTCCTAATGCTATCCCTCCCCCCTCCCCCCACCCCACAACAGTCCCCAGAGTGTGATGTTCCCCTTCCTGTGTCCATGTGTTCTCATTGTTCAATTCCCACCTATGAGTGAGAACATGCAGTGTTTGGTTTTTTGTCCTTGTGGTAGTTTGCTGAGAATGATGGTTTCCAGCTTCATCCATGTCCCTACAAAGGACATGAACTCATCATTTTTTATGGCTGCATAGTATTCCATGGTGTATATGTGCTACATTTTCTTAATCCAGTCTATCATTGTTGGACATCTGGGTTGGTTCCAAGTCTTTGCTATTGTGAATAGTGCTGCAATAAACATACATGTGCTTGTGTCTTTACAGCAGCATGATTTATAATCCTCTGGGTATATACCCAGTAATGGGATTGCTGGGTCAAATGGTATTTCTAGTTCTAGACCCCTGAGGAATCATCATACTGACTTCCACAATGGTTGAACTAGTTTACAGTCCCACCAACAGTGTAAAAGTGTTCCTATTTCTCCACATCCTCTTCAGCACCTGTTGTTTCCTGTTTCCTGACTTTTTAATGATCGTCATTCCAACTGGTGTGAGATGGTATCTCACTGTGGTTTTGATTTACATTTCTCTGATGGCCAGTGATGGTGAGCATTTTTTCATGTGTCTTCTGGCTGCATAAATGTCTTCTTATTGAACCATGTCTTATACTTAAGTGTCAAGCACAGCATCCTATGCTGGTCTGGGCTTACTCTGCAGATGAGACGTGTACTTTAAAATACAATTCAAAGATACAGTTTAGGAGAATAGTGAGGGTGTTGGAATGTAGAGGAGAGAGGTTCTTACTTCTCTAAATAATTATGTTCTTTCTTCCAACCTTGGGCAAAAAAAGAAAAAAAATTATATTTAGCCAATTATTTGCTAGCCACATGTATCACTCATTCATTCATTAATTAACTAGAGATTTTGATAATGCCCATGGGTAGGTGAGCAGACAGACCTGAGATGCCTGTGTACTCTATTCAAAATCACACATTCAGCAAAGGGAAACTTCTCAACAAAACACACTTTTGGTCTAATTTCAAAGCCCAAATTCTTTTGTCCTCAAAAATGAGGTCAAATTTCAGGCTTTACATATTGGCTTGTAGAGCCCAGAGTGTCAGCTGAGATTTGCACAGCCATGGACCTGTGAATAACACACCTCCTGTTCCTGGATTTCAAGGCCTCCAAAGCCCTCCCTGAGATTTCTGACAACAATCTAGATTGAAAACCTCAGGGCTCCCCTTTGCTCTGGGTTTCTTTGTTTCCTTCTGTTTCCTGTGTGCCTCACCACAGACAAAGGATCAAACCCATCCCTCTACTGGTTTTCTCCAAATAAAAATCAATAAATAAATAGCACAGTGCACAGCCTTCCTGTCTATGACAGCGCATGCTGGAGAACTGAGAGGACCTAGCATGCACCATTAAACTAAAAATCCTACCAACAGTAAAGTAAACAAAGGATAACAAAAGCAGAAGCCTATATTAATTTCTTAGATATTCTTGTATTCAAAAAAAAATCCTCTCAGACTATCATTTCCCCAGTGATTTCTCTTTTTGGGCTCTTTGATCTGACTCGGACTCTACAAATAATGTCTTCTCTATTAATCTCTTTTTTTACTCTTCGCCAATACCCCTTTCTTTTTGTACTCTCATCTCCTGATAGAGTAAGTCAACCTCTCATTGTGTCTTCTGCAGAGAAATTCTGTCCTTTCCCGAAATCCTTGCTAGGAACTTGGGATGAGGATCTTATGAGAGAGGAAAGCATGAGGCACGCCCTACTTTGTGCTGGAGAGGTTCTGAGAGATGACAAGACTGCAAGGGAGGCTCTTTGTATGAGATCATGACTGTTTCCTTAAAGGATAAGAGGAATTGGCTGATAGCAGGATATTTTAGGCACAAGAGACAACCTTCCAGAGAAAGTAAAGTTTTTCCTAAAGCATCTTTTGTAAAGTAAGTTCTGAATCCTTAGGCAAACAAGTTAAAACAAAACAAAACAAATGTCTTCATACTTCTGTAAAAAAATTCAGAGGCACCTATGAACAAAATCGTATTTGTTAAAAATTTGAGGCCACCTTCTTTTCCATCACTGTGCATGAGCGTCTGTGTAGCAGAGGGCAGAGAAAGCTGATGGCAGTTTCTTTTTCCCCAGCAAATAGGGCAGTGTGATTTTTGCCCCGGGCGCGTTTTGTGCACTTTCTCCAAGCATACTCTCTTTGTTGTGTGAATGATTCAGAGTGTGCCGCCAGGCTCTTATTTGCCTGGGCCTATAAAAGCTGCCAGGAGTTGTCTTGTACTCAACAATTTAGTGTGAAAGACATGGGCACCATTATCTCTAACACGTCTGAAAGATTATAATTAAGGGCGGCAGCGTTGACAGAGAAGTTCAGATTTTCTCCAGCAATGAGGCTATAAATTGAGGATGGTACAGGATTCGGACAATTGAACCTCTATGCAGGCACTCAGTCATAATTGGCATTGATTTAACAGTCCACAGCTCACCCCCAGCATCGTAAATTGATTGGAAATGACAAGCAATGAAGATTAACACCTTTCAGAACAGCATTCACTTTAAATAAATAAATATCAGAAAAGATAAAGCATTTAACTGTATTGCATGTCATACCTCCCTCTGCCCCATGAAAATGCCACCAAGGAGCTATAAACTAGAAAACCTTTCCCAAAGCAAATCCAGTGACTTCCAGGATAATATAAACAGGATCAGTCTCTGCTTGACTGCTATCCTGAGAGAGCTGTTTAAATCATGGAGAATTCCTCCTTTTAAACTTTGCAGTTTAATAAAGGTTTATGTATGTAGCATTTGTTTACTTTGGGCATTTAGAGTAATGATGTGGGTGCAAGCTTTGGGTCCAGAAAGCCTGCATTCAAATCTATTTGTCCCTCCTGTGAATGTTCTCTCCTGGCTGAATTGCTCGTTTGATTCCTCTGTGCCTCAATTGTCTGGTGTTTAGAATAAAAGCAACAATGGGACCTACCTCACAAAGAAGGTAGATGGTTAAGCGGCTTCCCTAAAGGAAAGCATTAAGAAAATGCCCGTATGCTGTAAATGTTAGGTATTAAAATCAGCTAGCCATCAGGGCGCCTGAGTAGGGGCTCCTTACTCAGACATGGGGGTGGGGGGGTATAGATGAAGCCTCTATCCTTAACGGGAATTAAATTGCTTTCTTAATTTTGAGTATAACATAAGTCACATGAATCACCACTCAAAACATATTAAAATGTATATAAGAAAAACCTCAACTTGTGTCTGCTCATTTTTGGCCCAGATGCTCCTGAATTTCTGACCCACAGGAACTGCACGAGATAGGTGATAAATGTGTCCTGATATTTTATGCCAACAGGTTTTGTGTTAAGTTGTTCCTTAACAATATATAACTAATATGCAATGCAAGGATTTTAGATCTGGGCAAGCTATCCTTAAACCATTGAAGTTATAGACAAAAGCATTAAATATGCAAAAAGTCAGATAATATTTTTTGCATAAACTATATTTGCTTTTTAGCCTGATAGTATTCTTCATTAGTAAGTTTGCCAATCTTTTTCTATATTTTATTTCTTATAGAATCTGTTTTAGTGCAGGTTCCTTTTCTAACATCATCAAATGAATGAGTTGGACTTTTACGTAGGAAGTGGTCAGTATCATCTTCAAGGCATAGTTGCTTTCCATATTCCAAAGACTCTCTTATTTTCTGTTGCCAAAGAGACAGATTACCCCCTGCAGTCATGGTGCATATGTTACTTTTGATGTAGCAGCCTCTCCTTTGCTTTTATAAACCAAACCCCAGGGCCTGGAGAGTTTTTTCTTCTATCCCTAATTGCCCCATTATTAATATTCTAAAGAAGGCATATACTTGTCTCTCTTTAGGATGTACCCCTCTCTTTTAGAAATAATGTCTTTGCTGGGATTTCCAAAATCTACTGATTCTGAGCTGGCTCATTAACCTTTGTTGTCTTCTTTTTGCTTCTTCATTTATGTGTTCTATCTCAGCTACGTTTAGCCACCTTTTCTCATGATTGAAAAGAGGGACTTTACCTGATAAACTACCTTTGCCAAAAATGAAGTTTGTATCATGTTTCAATTTTTATTTTTTTATGTTTGATAATTTCAGGAGGGAAATGAAAAAAATGCCAACATGTTTAGCCATATTCATATAAAATTATTTAACCCTTTTTCATGTATCTCTCTTCTACAAGCTTTTTTCCCCTCCAATTTTAGATCAGTACCACATGAGGCTGTTGTAGAGGTCAGATGAGAAACTACATAAATACTCAACATATGGGTGCCAGCTAGACTTCAAAGAAGTATATATGTACTGTTGTTATTAATACTAATTATAAGAAAAGTTGCCTTCCTAAGAGGAGCAAGCCAGTTTAAAAAAAATGAATGAATTTTGCAATGTACCTACCAGCATCATAGATCTTCCCACAGTGGTACCTCATTAATGCAGAAGTCACAGCACCATACCAGGGCTTTCTTTTCAGCATTTATTTATCTTGTGTTCTGGAACTGTGGCTGCCCAAGCCTGGGAGTGTTCACTGAAGCACTTAGTCTTCTTTTCCTTTAGGTACTTTGTGCCCAGCGCTTAGGAGAAATTGTGGAATATTTATTGAATAAATAAATGGCTTCCCATTGCATTTCAGTCTCTACCAATACTCTGTTACTTCCTGTTCTTTATTCATTTAAGCAATAGTACCGTCATTTCTTAAAATATATATGCCCCTTCCTTTGCAAAAGCTGGCACCTAATACCAAACTGATTTATGCAGAAGCAAATAATGGTGTGTACAACTATCAAGCTTTGGGTTTTTCAACCTTTTGGAATGATTGATTTTTCTGGCCATTTCTATTCATGTTAGTTTTAGTCTGATCCATGATGCAAACAGAATGGGACCCATGAATGAATTGACCCGTGTGGCCCACCATTTGCTGGGGCTACGTATTAGGTTGGTGCAAAAGTCATTGCAGTTTTTGCCATTATTTTTAGTGGAAAAACATGAAGTTATTTTTAATGGCAGAAACCGTGATAACTTTTGCATCAACCTCATAACTCCTGCACTCCAAAGACATAACCAAGTCTCTGTTGCTTTCTCTACTAAATCACTTAATGGAAAGTCACAAAGAAAGCAGAACAGGGTTAAATGATGTTTATTATGAAGTAAGTGCAGTCAGGTCCACTCATGTGTGACTCTAATTTGAAGCAATGACAAGCATAATGAAAGGGCAGTGTACTGTCCCTTGATAGGGAATGACCAAGAGCTGAGATAGTTCTTTTGATTTCCACAGTCAGTGCTTTATGTAGGAAAAGGGATTGGGTGAAAGATAATGCCTCTTGAACCGAGACCTTAGGAGATGAGACTATTTTAGCCAGCTGGTGCTAAAATATACCTGATAACCTGACGGTGGGGGGAGTTCACCCATAATAGACTTTAGTGTGAATAGACTGATGAAATATATTCTTTTCTTCTCTTTGACATCAGTGCTATTTATTATCTCATATTATGCTGTTGAAAAATGGAATTCAACTTAGACAAAATGTGATTATAAGTCCTCCTTTGGTTCTTTCACAATTTTCAGCTCACTACTTTTCAGTTTAGCTATACAGAACATACTGCTTTTTGGCTTTTGTTACTTCTGAGTTGTTTTGCTTTTTTTGGACATGGACTTTCAACTTCTAATTCATAATGACAAACATACTCAGTGTGATCTCATCTAAAGTGTTTTCTGAAAATAATCTGAAAGCAGTTGGAAAATGGATTTATTCCTAAATATGCAATTATATATTTTTGCATATTTAATATATATGAGGTATCACTGTTTATTATCTTGATACATTTACAAACACACAGGCATCTCCTCCTGAGACTAAGTGGCCCAAGACAAACAGACATGTTATTAGGACACAACTTATTGCAATCTCATTTAACCAAATCTCATCCAATCAAAGGAAAGCTTTTCTTACACCTGAGCATGCTCTCGTTTCACCAGTTTAGAGGCTCTCTATGATGCCATTGGTCATTCTCAGTCCCCTCCCTAGTAGGAGTTAGACCTTCTCCCCTCTTCTTTCTAAATGCACTACTTTATGTGTCTGTCTCCATCATACAAAGTAATCTTCTTGACCGGGCATGGGCTGTTGCTTATCACTGAGTTGTTTACTCTTAGCCCATTCTTCTGGGGAAAAAAAATAAAGTCTTGTATGGAGCACCAGTTGGGTCTCAAGAACTGGTTTTATTCTTGAGTAAGAGCAGCCGTTCTGGCCTGAGAATGTACCTGGCAGATTCACTACAGGGATTGTATTTGGTGCAGGACCTCAGCTGCTGTGCTTTGCAATCTGTAGCTGCCCTTACATTCAGGCCACACCTTTTGCAGCTGCTCCTTACCAATAATTCCTGCAGCATGAATGCTAAGGAAAACCTACTGCTGGGAGACTTGGAGACCCTTTGTCAGATGACTTTGACTCAAGGACCTGGTGGCCCTGCTGAACCTTTAGACTACATGGAAATTGAGGGCTTCCTCTCAACCCTCTTTCTTCTTTTTAACTTGCTGTCAGCCTTGCATCATGGTCTGATGTCTGATGAATCTCTCAGCCTTCCTCATCTCAGGTATTTCCCCTAATAAAATCTTGATACATTTAATTATTTTATGTCATGTGCTGCATGGATGTCCTGGACATCCATCTTAGCAGCTAAGAATACAATTGGGTTTTCTACTCCTCTGAAGGTTATATTTTAGTAGGAAGGAAAGAATGAAATAAATGTAGTATAAAGGAAAGAAGAAAAGAAAATAGGAACAAAGAAAGAAGGAAGAAAAGGTGATTTAAGGCACTGATATATACAACTAAGTAAAGCAAAGCATCTAAATTGTAAATTAAGGGAGGAGAATACTGTCTTAGTAAAGCTGGAAAAGACTCTCTGAGGAGGTGGACATGGAGTTCTGATGTGAAATGAGAAGGAGGCATCCATGCAAAGGTAGAAAAAAACAATGAGAAAACATGGGAACTATCGTGCCATAATCATTAGGGATGAAGGCTTATGCTATCTAAGGTGCAAAAGGAAAGCTCATGATATTTAAGCAAAAGATAGAAAAGACTGGGGTAGGAGGTTAAGCAGAAGCTAAATTATGGAGGATTTTAAAGCCATTTTGGGAAAGTGTTTCCATGCAATATATAATTTTGGAAAGTCTCATAGACAATGGTGAAGAAGACAGTTATGAAGATCAGAACAGGACTCAGGAAAGCAGTTTGGAGGCCATTGTGTTGTTGTGTTACCACAGTCAAGATATGACAACATGAGGACTTAGTTTTTGGCAGTCAATATTGTGAAAAATGATGAGATTTAGAATATATTTTGGAGACCTGATGATGTGTTAAATATGAGGTTGGGAAACTGCATGCATGATGGTGACATGTATTCAAGTGGGAAAAGCTGTAGGGAGTACATTACATGAGGAAAATAGAACCAGCATTTTAATTTAACATTATGTTTGGGTTTTTTAAAATTAATCCTAGCAGAGGTTTGGAGAAGGAATTTTAGTTTATAGTCCTGGAGCTCAGGGAAGAAATCTAGATGGAGATACAAATTTGAAAGTCTTCAACATAGTGATAGTATTTTAAGCCAAGAAAATGTCATCTAGTGAGATCATGAAGTAAGAAAAGTCAAATTTGTTTTTTTGTTTGTTTTTTGTTTTGTTCTGAGACAGTCACTCTTGTTGCCCAGGTTGGAGTGCAATGGCATGATCTTGGCTCACTGCAACCTCCGCCTCCTGGGTTCAAGCAATTCTCCTGCCTCAACCTCTTGAGTAGCTGGGATTACAGGCGCCCACCACCATGCCCAGATTTTTTTTTGTATTTTCAGTAGAGATGGGGTTTCACTATGTTGGCCAGGCTGGTCTGGAACTCCTGACCTCAGGCAATCCACCTGCCTTGGCCTCCCAAACTGCTGGGATTACAGGTGTGAGCCACCACGCCTTACCATCAAATTTGTTTTTAAAAGCTACAGGAACTTGGACAATTAACCTCTCTTTTCTCAAATAAAAGATAAAGTTGATAAGAGCAACACCACAGATTTGTTGAGAGGATTAAGTAAATAAATGTGGCTATCAGGAAGAAGTCTGGCTGACGAGAGTTATTCCATTCAAAAGGCAGGCTTTCTTAGACCAAGACTTTGAAACTCTTCAGGCCTTGATTTCATACCAGGCTAATATCAGTTTAGGCTACAATCTGTCAGGAACCCAGCAGGAAGCAACTGGCACACCCAAAGAGGTAAAGGGAGAAAGTTCAATGAAGAATTATACATAAAGTTATCCACAGTGATAGCATAGGGAAAATGGGGGTGGGGGGAGATGAGAAATTAGATTTACCACACCCAGGCATGTTGGCAAGGGAAGAGAGTGGTTACTAGACCGGGGGAGGCATAGCAAATAAGACAGGGACAGCCTGATAACCCCTGAGGCCGCAGGAGAGGAACTCAGCCCTCCCCAAGCATGGCCAAGGGTTGAGGCCACAAAGTAGTGTGGTTGAATGAACACTCTGACCTTTCTTTCCTTTTCCATTTGTATCCTCCTGGTGCCTCATATTGGACAAAATTTTCTGAAAACAAGAAGGCAGGGAAGCCACTTAAACCTCACCTACTCTCTGTCTTTATATCAATGAAATGGTTCTAAAGTATACGTTTAAGACCTAACTCCCAAGTACCTTGAAGCATTAAATAAAATGTTTGTAAAGCCTAATGTATTCCACAGAAATAAAAGGTCATTACTAGACTTCACTTAGAAGACGTTCCATACAATGTAATTACACTTTTTTGCTTCAATAACTAAGATTCTTGTTAAGTTTTGGTCCTTGTTTTTTCAGCTTAAGAAACCACGCTCCTTGATTGCTTTTTGTTTGTGGATACTATCCCTCCCTAAAGGTCCAGCTCACTTCCTCCTTGGAAATCTTTCACAATGCCCCACACTGGATTCATATGGCTTCTCTCAAATTTTTCATAGTATGCTGCTTTCATAAAATGCTGAGATTTCACTTAATAAAATAAATACTCCAAGCACTTATTTTATTCTATTTTTAATTATTTCATTTTATTAATGTGCCTATTTCCCCAAGTACGTTATAAGATCCCTCATGAAAATGAATGTTGCAATGTCATTGCAAATAGCAAATAGACAGCTCCTTTCAATCCTCCGGGCCTCTCTTTTTACTGGGAGAAGGAGAATCTTTCATATTAAAATCAAGGGTTAAGAGAGGGTACCCGAAGCAGAAGATGAAATGTCGGTAGAAGACACAAAAGAGTAGGGAAGTTTCTTCCTACACATTGTTCATTATCTTTCCTTTCATTGGCTCAGTGTGGCAGCTAAGAAGAGCCTAAAATTCTTTCGGTTGAATTGACAAATGGCTTAAGGCTCAGGTGAAAGAAAGAATGGAAAAGACGAAATGGCTGGTTCAGCTGCAGGCATTAGAAGAGGGAAGAAAATAAGGGTTCTTGATATTTCTACATGATCTAGGTGAGCTTGTTTTGGCAGGGGTATACAAATGGATTTAAGGCAGAAGATGTAATATAGCAGTAGCAGAGTGTGTATTTGCCTAGAGTATGTTTTGTCACACCTTATATTTATCAAGTGTGATATTAGCTGTGGAGTGCTGGATATCATCTTTAAATACAAAAATCAGAGTTCATGAGCATCTTGACAAAGACTAATAAGCAGGAGCTATTTTAACTCATCTCCCTAATTCCAAATTACTAACACAGGACTTTGTACTCAGGATATCCTTAATGAATACCTGTTGAAAGAGTGAAACAATGTGTTTCTCCATCCAAAAAAATAAGACCAGCAGGAATGAGTAGAATGGTGTTGCAAAGCCTAATAAAGACTATTATACAAACCAGATTTAAGATTTTGCTCTTTTGAATGAGTATCCAGCAGTTAGAATTAACTGATGGATACAGCCTTTTGAGATCCTATTACTCCATCTCTTTTCAGATAGTGCATAGGACTCAGAAACATTGATGTTCTATGATTTGCTGTTTTCATGAAGGACACAAAAGTATCTGGTATCAGAAGAGAGATACATTTTACTTATGGATGTTGGAAAATCGTTCTGCAATCTCATACTACTTCGCAGAACTGGCCTATGATAATGTGAGTATTGAATCTGAGAGCTCTTGTCTCAAATGGAAATCATGACAGATTAGACTGATGTGGCCCAGGAATTAGCAACATGATTTTCCATTTTGCAGCTTGTGACTGAAAAAGTATCTTCATTTTTGGAAATACCATAAACAAAATAAAAGACCTATATGACTTCCATCTTCTATACACCTGAGGAGGCAAGTGAAGACTGTGACTCTATTTCTCTTGTTCCACTATTTCAATCAAGGTGGCTTACTAATTTCTGCCTATGAACTAAGCTCTGCCTGTAATCATGGACCACACTTCTACCAAACTCAAAAGCCGTTTCTGAAAATTCTGGCTAGCACATGTAAGGTCCACCTTCCTTGCTGTTCATACGTTGTGCCTGATATTCATTTATTATTTTATTTTTCCTAAGCTATTGATTATTCCATCTGCTACTGGTATAGCTGACTAAACATACAACATACTATATTTTAAACTATAGTCCTGTGATTACTGTTACTTTTTCTATTCCCTCAAATAACTTGTTTTTCCTCTGGGCATCTCTGATAATTTACCTGTGGAATAGGAATAATTATAGGCCAATTATACATTTACTATGAAAACATTCATGTAGAGTGGAATCGTGAAAAATTCAATAAATATTAGTAATGATATTACTGTTAATATTATGACCATATCTGCTACAAGGAAATTTAATAATTATAAGCATCTAAAACAATAACTAGTTTAATTAACTATAAAAATTACACTTGACTATTTACTGTAAAACTAAAGACAAAAAGAACTTTACACAAACATATTGATCTATAGTTGGTAAATCTGTTTACAGAAAAATATGAATTACTAATTCTGAAGTTACTTTTAGGATAATCTAAGAGTAAACAAATTGGTAAACATACTGTGTATAATGAGTGCCTGGTTTTTCTATTGTTGGAAAAAGATGTTATAAATGAAGAAATAGGGAAAGCTAGAATGAGCCTTGTGGTGTTGGAATGGAATCAGAATTATCAGCATGAACTCATGGTTTGTAATATATGTGCAAACAGTAAGATATAGAAACATATATACATTTGTGACACATATAAATACTTCATATATATATATATACATCCTAGCTTGTGCTCTAAGGAACAAAAAATAACAATGCCCTAGTAGCAATGAGCATACCTAGTATGCATATCTTAGCTATTAAGTCTATTCTTCAATAAAAGGAACCAAGGCTCTTTGGAGGAAATTATTCTAGAGAAACTACAGGATGACTTTGGAATGTAGAGGGGTATAAAAAATTAAAGTAGTGTTTATAAAATGATGGAGAAATTTGACTAAAAGGACACAAGTAACAACCTGGAGATACCCGTGACCAGGTCTGAAATAATTTGAATAAGAATATAAATTGATAAAATAAATATTCATATTCTATACTAATATAAATAGATATTTGAATAGATAAATAAATGAGGGTTAATGGACAGTTTATTCTTAAAATAGAACCCCAATTAGTAAACGTAGAGTGAATGGTAAAATTAGAAAATTACCATTTGGTAAATACTGCAGTTTATATTTATTGCAGATGAGAATCAGAAATGGCTCTGGAAATCAGGGGGTGAGCAAATAGTGAGAGAAAGAATATTTGCATAGTCTCAAACTATCACCCATCTTAAATTTTATCAATTACAAGGGGAAAATAATAACTTTACAATGAAGACATCTGGCATACACCACTTTAACTATATGATCACAAGCTATCACTACCGAGAACAAGGCATGAAGCCATCATGTACCTCCCAGGTGATGTCCAGAGAAGAACCTGGCATCTCTTCTATCCTGTTCTTGCAAAAAATGTATAACCTTAATTTAATCAGGAGGAGACATCAGAGAAACTCAATTTTAAAGGCAGTTTGCAAATTACCTGTCAGTGTAAATAATGAAATTAAGGTAGAAATCAAGAAATTCTTTGAAAACAATGAGAACAAATTACCACATACTATAATCTTTGGGACACAACTAAGGCAGTGCTAAGAGGGGAATTTTTACCACTGCATACTCACATCAAAAAGTTAGAAAGATTTCAAATTAGCAGTCTAACATAACAACTTAAAGAACTAGAGAGGCAAGAGCAAACCAACCCCAAAGCTAGCAGAAGACAAAAAATAAGCAAAATCGGAGCTTAACTGAAAGATATGAAGACATGAAAAACCACTTAAAAGACCAATGCATCCAGATATATAGGCCACTTGGTAGACCAATAAAGAAGAAAAGAGAGAAGATCCAAATAAACACAATTAGAAATGACAAAGGGGATGTTACCTCTGACCCCACAGAAATACTAACAACCATCAGAGACGACTAGGAACACCTCCTGATGATGCACACAAACAAGACAACCTAGAAGAGATGGATAAGTTTCTTGACACATACACCTTCCTGAGACTGAACCAGGAAGAAATTGATTCCCTGACTAATGACCAATAAGGAGCTCTGAAATGGATCAGTAAATAAATAGCCTGACAATAAAAAAAGCCCAGGGCCAGATAGATTCACAGGCAAATTTAACCAGATGTTCAGAGAAAAGCTGGTATCATTCCTACTGAAACTATTACAAAAATTGAGGAGGAATGACTCCTCTCTAACTCATTATATGAGGCCAGTATCATCCTGATATCAAAACCTGGCAGAGACACAACAAAATAAGAAAACTTCAGGCTAATATCCTTGATGAACATAGATGCAAAAATTCTCAATAAAATATTTGCAAGCCAAATCCAGAAGCATATGAAAAAGCTAATCCACCACAATGAAGTAGGCTCTATCCCTGAGCAATGTTGGTTCAACATATGCAAATCAAGAAACGTGATTCATCACATAAACAGAACTAAAGATAAAAGCCACGTGATCATCTCAATAGATGCAGAAAAAGTTTTTGATAAAATTCAACATCCATATATGTGAAAAAAACTCTCAATAAACTAGATATTGAAGGAATATATCTCAAGATAATAAGAACCACCTGTGAAAAACCCAGAGCCACTATCATACTGAATGAGCAAAAGCTGGAACCATTCCCCTTGAAAATTGGCACAAGTCAAGGATATTCTCTCTCACTACTCTTTTTCAACATAGTGTTGGACGTCCTGGCCAGGGTAATCAAGCAAGAAAAAGAAATAAAGGGCATCCCAACAGGAATAGAGGAAGTAAAACTATCCTTGCCTGCAGATTACATGATTTTATATCTAGAAAACCCTATTGTTTTGGTCCAAAAGCTCCATTAGCTGATAAAAAAACCTCAACAAAATTTCAGGATACAAAATCAATGTACAAAAATCACTAACATTTCTATATGTCAATAACAGCCAAGCCAGGAGCCCAATCAGAAACAAACTCCCATTCAAAACTGTCATGCAAAAAAAATAAAATAAAATACCTAGAAATACAGTTAATGAGGAAAGCAAAAGATCTCTATAATGAGAACTATAAAACACTGCTCAAAGAAATCACAGATGAGACAAACAAATGGAAAAACATTCCATACTCATGGATAGGAAGAAGCAACGTTATTAAAATGGCCATAAAACCCAAAGCAATTTACAGAGTCAACAAGATTCCTATCAAACTACCAATGACATTCTTTACAGTACTAGAAAATACTATTTTAAAACTCATAAAAAACAAAAAATGCGCCCAAATAGCCAAAACAATTACAAGCAAAAATAACAAAGCTAGAGGCATCATGTTACCTGACTTCAAACTATACTACAGGGCTACAGTAACCAAAACAGCATGGCACTGATACAAAAACAGACACATAGATTAATAGAACAGAATACAGAACCCAGAAATAAGGCTGCACACAAATGACCACCAGATCTTCAACAAAGCTGACAAAAACAAGCAATGGGGAAAAGACTACTTATTCAATACATAGTGCTGAGATAACTGGCTAGCCATATGTAGAAGATTGAAACCAGACCTCTTCCTTACACAATATACAAAAATCAACTCAAGATGGACTGATGACTTAAATGTAAAACCCAGAACTATAAAAGCTCTGGAAGACAACATAGGCAATACCATTCAGGACATAGGAACTGGAAAAGATTTCATGACAAAGACACCAAAAGCAATTACAACAAAAGCAAAAATGAAAAGTGGTATCTAATTAAACTTAAGAGCTTCTCTACAGCAAAGAAACTATCAACAGGTAAGCAGACAATTTATAGAATGGGAGAAAATATTTTCAAACTCTGCGTCTGACAAAGGTCTTATATCCAACATCTATTAAGAATTTAAACAAATTTACTAGAAAAGAAAACATTTAAAAGTGGGCAAAGAACATGTACAGACAGTTTTCAAAAGAAGACAGACATGCAGCTAACAAGCATGAATAAGAGCTCAACTTTATTAATCATTGGGAAAATGCAAATTGAAACCACAATGACATACCATCTCACACCAGTCAAAATGGCTATTAAGAAAAAAAAACAGAAGCTGGTAAAGTTGCAGAGAAGAGGGAATGCTTATACACTGTTGGTAGGAGAGTAAATTAATTCAACTATTGTGGAAAGCAGTGTAGCGATTCCTGAAAGAACTAAAAACAGAACATTCCACCCAGCGATCTTATTACTGGGTATATATCCAAAGGAATATAAACCTACCTATTACAAAGACACGTGAATGTGAATGTTCACTGCAGCACTAATCATAATAGCAAAGACATGGAATCAACCTAAATGCCTATGAATGACAGATTGGACAAAAAGAATGTGGTACAGATAGACCATTGAATACCATGCTACTTTGAGCCATATAAAAGAGTGAGATCATGTCTTTGGAGTAACATGAATGATGCTGGAGGCCATTACATCCTTAGCAAACTAACACAGGAACAGAAAACCAAATATTGCAGGTTCTCACTTATAAGTGGGAGCTAAATGATAAGAAGACATGCACTCAATGATGGGAACAATGGACATTGGGGCCTGCTTGGGGGCAGAGGGTGGGAGGAGAGGGAGGATCAGAAAAAAATATCTGTTGGGTGCTAGGCCTAGCACCTGGGTGGCAAAACATTCTGTACAACGAACTCCTGTGACATGAATTTACCTATATAAGAAACCCGCTCCTGTACCGCTGAACCTAAAATAGAAGTTCAAAAATATAGGAAGTGGGCCGGGCGCGGTGGCTCACAGCTGTAATCCCAGCACTTCGGGAGGCCAAGGCAGGTGTATCACCAGAGGTCAGGAGTTTGAGACCAGCCTGGCCAGCATGGTGAAACCCCATTTCCACTAAAAATACAAAAATTAGCAGGGCATCCTGGCACGTGCCTGTGATCCCAGCTACACAGGAAGTTGAGGCAGGAGAATCGCTTGAACCCGGGAGGCAGAGGTTGCAGTGAGCCCAGATTGCACCATTGCACTCCAACCTGGGCAACCAGAGCGAATCTCCGACTCAAAAAAATAAGAATAAATACAAAATATTAAAATATATATATATGAAGGAAGTTAAATTTAAAAAAGAAAGAAATGTTTAAACAACTGAGCATGACTGTGTGCCAATAAAATGTTATTTCTAGACACTGAAAAAAAAACTGACCAGAACTTCCAAAATTTCAAATCATGGAAAACAAAGAAGGATTGAAGGAAACTAAGAAGTCATTACAAATAAATACAATGTGTGATCCCACATTAGATCTTGGGCCTGAAAAAGGACAATGGTGAGACAGTATACAAAATATAAATTACAGATTAGCAGATCTGTTTATTACATTAATGATAATTTCTCAGATTTGATAGTTATAATTTGGTTATATAACATGTTAACATTTTGAGAAGCTGGGTGAAAGATTTATGGGAACTCTTTACTTTTGTAATATTTTAAAGTCAAATTATTTCAAAATATAAAGTTAAAAATTATATACATATGCACACATACATGATCATCGAAATATAATGTAGTCAATACAGCTATTAAAATTATGTACAAAATGCCATGAGATCCTGAAAGAGTGGATAATAGCATATCTACCAGTTCTTAAATTCTCTCTTGATGAGAATGAAAGGAAATATTATCAAGATTATAGCAGAGCAATAGACCTATTGTCCTAGGCAAACCAGGCTACCAGTCACCCTAATTTTTCAAAGAACCAGCAAGTGATCATCAGATTGAAGCAGAAGATGGCATTTCAGGTAGGGAGAAAATGAGAAAGAGGAAACCAAACCAAGGAAGCACAAGGTGTGCCTGAAGCCAGGAGAAAATTCAGAGTCAGACGCCTCAGTTCATCTTCAGATCCCAAGTCCTTGACATGTGCCAGGCTCTGTTTTTACAGGAATAAAACAATAAATAACATGTAATAGGTCCTTGCATTCATGGAGCTTATACACTAGTAGGAAAAACTAAAAGTAAACTAATAAATACCTATAACATACAATAAATCGTTTTACAATGAGAGTTACGTAAACAACTGAATGGGTTCCCTTTGGATGGTGTGGTCCGGGGACATGACATTGAAACTCAGATCTGAAAGCTCAGGGAGAACTGGTATACAAACAGGTGGTGTGTGGAGGATGCGTGGGTTTTGTGGGCACACATTTTAGGCAGAGGGTCAAGTAGTGCAAAATTACTATGCTGGAAATGAACTTAGCATATTCTGGGGGCCCAAAAAAGGCAAGTGTGGCTGAAAATGGGAAGACCAGAAGGAAATGATGCCAGAGAAGTGGTCAGGATCCTGAGTATTTAGTGTTTCAGAAGCCCAGAAAATAAATTCACATTCCCCCCCAACACACACACCCGACTCAGTTTAAATATGTTCTTCTTAGTAATTGAAGGATTTTCAGTGGAGGAGTGAGCTGATCCGACATATAGTTAGAAAAACCATTCTGGCTCCTTGAGAAATTGATTGGGGTGGAAAATGGCAACAGAAGAGGAAAATAGTGGATTTAGAAGACTCTCCAATTTACGTAGTAGATGATGGTGGAAGCAGAGAGGGAGAACCAGAAAATTTAAGACAAAATTCAGAGGTAGGACTTGCTGATGGGCTTGAAAGAGAACACCAATTGGATGCTACTATTTACTAAGATGGGATTTTAGTGGAAAGATTTTAAGAAGAGTGTGGCTTAGTCAAAATTGAATTTTGAGAAATAATTCTGGCTGCAGTGTTTTCTAAACCTCTGTTATTATAATATGACCTTCCTAATTTACTGCAATCCTATGAACCTCTTGTGTTATTAAATTTATATGAACTGCTACTCTTTAAATATATTTATACCGTTAATAATTTGCATGGAGTCATTTTTTTGCTTACACATGTGTTATGTTAAAAAAAAAACACTTTACTTTTTTTGGGAAAATATAAGCCAGTGGTAGGCTTATTTGCTAAAGGTTCTACTTTGGTATAACGAGAAGAACTTACAATAGAAATAACTTCATCATATGTAATTCAATATTTCTTTAATGTTGTGCCTGTAGAACCACATAAAATCACCAGTTAAGAAACACCAACTTAAAGGCAGAAAAAGTTGTCAAGGGTTATTAAAATTCACCAACTGATGGTGTCTTCTGCTAAAATCCAATACTCTATCATAGTATTCTTTCTGAAACATTTTTGTGTGGGAGTGGAAACAACAAAAATGTATAGATAAATATTCTTTTTCTAAAATTAATTTTAGTAAAAAGCAGGTCTATGTGATGTAAAATATTCTATTGTTGTGAAAGAGTTAATTCCCTAAGCTCTCAACTTGCTCACAGGAAATGAATTAGGTTCGGAATGAATCCAGCTCATTTATTCTTTTACTCAAGATTCACTCATTGGCCTCAGGCTTGTGATTACTGGTGAAAAATAAATATAAAACATTTACATTCAATGTGGAAGTTAAATAAGAAGACAGGGACGATTCCCCGTAGGTAAACCACCAACAAAATAGACTCTTATACCATTTACTGAAGGCTGACATTGAAGCTCCAGGGAGCAGAAAGGTGTGAGATATTTAGAGAAAACATAAACCATTTATAGTTATGATTTGCACTGGGTCAGACGTTCAGGAGAGGGGTTGTCAGCAGTATTGGTGAATTCAAAATAGATATTACTATTCATGGCACACATGGAGGCGCTGCCTTCTCTCATAAGTTCTTTCTCTAAAAAACTGTGAAGAGTAAGTGTGTATGCAGAAATATTACTCTGAGGGTTCTCCTTCATCTCACTATATTGCCTAACAAATTGTAGGAAAATTTAGCGTAAACAATGGTCCCAGTGAAAGCTGTTTCTTTTTTGGTCTTCATGCACTTAAGAATTAGATTTCCTCAAATTTTTATTCCAGGTGTATTATATTCCACTCTTATGCCCATTCTTCCTTGCTTGCAGCTTACATTATTACCACTTCAACCTTACAGCCTTTCATAGTATGTTTCACAGTCTCCCATCTCTGGGAATGAGCCCTGTCAGTCCCCTGTACTTAAAATACCTTTCTACAAACTGCCTCTCCAGAAGTCCTCCCAGCTTTCAAAAACCAGCTGAAATTCCACATTTTCCAGAAATCTTCCCGAAATCCATCTCACCTCGTATTTTCTAGACTCTAGATCTCACTTGAAACTGCTGCATCAGGCTGTATTGCTATTTTTAGCAAAAGCTTCCAGTGATTTTGATAACCAGAAAAATCCAGAAAACAGTTCTCTAGTCAAAATCCATTGTCTTGTGTTTTTACATTTGTTTGTACATAGTGTTTTATAATTTTATGATGTTATATGAAATAATACATTTACAGAACTGTCTCTCCTAAACTGTAACAATTATTAGCATGTTGGATTTGCCTGTTATTTACACGTCTAAGACCTACGAATTTGGGGAGTATAATAGGCATATATTATTATACTAATTCATATGTTAATTGTTCAAAGTAGTAGTAGATGCCAGTGGTTTTATTGCTTAAATACTACATATTATACATTAATTTTAATCATACATTAGTTAAGTTTCTACTATTTCCAGACACTGTTAAAAATTGGAGACAAGAAATATTAATAAGACATACTCTCTAACTTGAATACACTGAATTTTGAAAAGCTAAAATGTGCTGGTGTATAAATTATGATTTTTTCATGTTCCATAAAACAGAAGTATAGACAAGGTATTAGAGTTGAGCAGATGGAAGTTGACTTCATAGAGAAGCAACTTTGGCAGACAAATTGAGGTTCATTCTAGGGAATAATGTGGGTGGTGGCATCCATCTGCAAAACGCAGACACGTGAAACAACGAGATGCTTTCAATGATTACCCATTTTAATGACACTATATTTTATGGGAAAATTAAAAGATGGTCCATATTCTATCTCATTGGAAGATGAAGCAGTGTTTTCCAAAGCCAAGTTTAAATACTACTGTCAAAGTAAAAATTGCACTGGACACATTTAAAAAGACAAGGAGACTTTATTCAAGAATATTGTAGTAGAAGAGTAGCAGTGAATCAATCTATTAGAAAGATACTAGAAAAGTTATGGGTGAGGTTGATCAATGGGATGTATCTAGAATTTCAAGATATAGTGGCGTGATCTTGGTTCACTGCAGCCTCCGTCTCCTGGGTTCAAGTGATTCTCCTGCCTCGGCCTCCTCCAGTAGCTGGGATTACAGGTGCCTGCCACCACACCTAGCTAACTTTTTGTATTTTTAGTGGAGGTGTGGTTCCACCATGTTGGCCAGGCTGGTCTCAAACTCCTGACCTCAAATGATCCGCCTGCCTTGGCCTCCCAAAGTACTGGGATTACAGACGTGAGCCGCAGCACCTGGCCTAAGTTGGTAAATGTTTTTCTCTGTGATTAGCCCATCCTTGTTTGCTAATTGGCTCCCATCAAAGATAGGCTCCTATGCTCCCCCAGAGATCAGAATAGAGGGGCACCATCTTCTGTGATGATTACATTTCAAGGGTATGCCTCCCAGGTTCTTGAGAACTCTATTCCTGGGTTGTAAGACTTGTGAGAGTCTTTTGAAAAGATTTACATCTCAAGGGGCCAGAAAAAGACTTAAAAGTTACAAGATTTTGAGAGCCAGTGCTCTAAGAAACGGAGCTCAGGGTGCTAGAATCAGGAAGAAGGCTATCTAAAATTCATAATTTTTAAGATGTAAGCAATAATACTTTTGCTAAAATTTATAGCTTTTGCTAAAAATTTATAGAACTATCTCTCTTGAACTGTGGTAATTATTAGCATAATGGATTTGCTTCTTATTTACATGCCCAAGACCTATAAATTTTGGGAGAATAATAGGTGTATGTGATCATACCAATCCATATGTTAATGGTAAAAAGTAGTAATACATGCTAGTGATTTTATTTACATCTCAAAGGGCCAGAAAAAGACCTTATGATTACAAGATTACTAAAGCCAATGCTCTAAGAAGGTGGGGGTCAGGATCCTAGAATCAAGAAGAAACCTACCTAAAGTTTAGTCAAGCTGAGAGGAACACTAAGGCCCTTTGGTACCACCTATGATAATTTATCTATGATCTAGGTCCCAGATACAAGCAATTCCCATTCTCATTCTATGGCCAGACATTCATGCATAGTCCCGTATTTTCTATGCATTTTTGTACTGACCTGAAGGAATGAATAGGAGTTTGATAAACAGTGAAAGAGATGAGGAACATTCTAGGCAAATGCAGCAACATGAGTGTGTTAGTCTGTTTTCTGTTGCTATAAAAGAATACCCGAGGATGGATAATTTATAAAGAAAAGAGGCTTATTTTGGTTCATCGTTCGACAGACTGTACGAGAAGCATGGCATCAACATCTGCTTCTAATGATGCCTCAGCAAGATTCTAATTATGACAGAAGGTGAATGAGGAGAAGATGTATCACACAGTGAGAGCAACAGCAAGAGGTGCTAGGTTCCTTTGAATAACCAGCTCTCACGTGTAATTATCATGGGGAAGACACCAAGCCACTCATGAGAGATCCACCCGCATGACCCAAACATCTCCGACCAGGACCGCTCCTCCAACATTGGGGGTCACATTTCAACATGAGATTCGGAAAGGATAATTATCCAAACTATGTCAATAAGCAAATGAGTAGAGAAAAATGAAAGCACAATGTTTAGAGTGTCAGAGGTCATGTATTTCCATTTCTTTTCTTATTGTCTATTCAGTGGAAACAAAAACATTTTGCATAATTTCTCAATTTGAATATGCAGCAAAACTTATTCTAAAATTCTAGGAACATGGCTGAAAATGTGCTTTTGGTCTAATCATTATTATATATTTGTCTAGCTACTAACTATTGACTGCAATTTACTACATGCTATGCTACACATTTGACTTTCTTTTTTCTAATGCTCACAACTCTTCAAAATAAAAAATATTGGACAGGCATGGTGGCTCATGCCTGTAATCCCAGCATTTTGGGAGGCCAAGGCTGGCGGAACGCCTGAGGTCAGGAGTTCAAGACCAGCCTGGTCAACATAGTGAAACCCCATCTCTACCAAAAATACAAAAATTATCAGGGCATGGTGGCAGACACCTGGAGTCCCAGCAACTTGGGAGGCTGAGGCATGACAATCACCTGAACTTGGGAGGTGGAGTTTGCAGTAAGCCGAGATCATGCCACTGCACTCCAGCCTGGGTGGCAGAGTGAGACCCCATCTCAAAAAATAATAATAATAAAATAAATAAATAAAATAAAATAAAATAAAACATTAAAAAAATTAACTTACTAAAGAGAGACCTTTTGCTCAGTGAAGTTCAGTGGCTGTGTAAAGCTAGAGTTAGTAAGCAGCAGTGTACATTCAAGCCTTGCTCCGACCTGGCTTCAAAGCAGAACCCATTTCATTTATATCACTCTGATTCTCCACAATCTGTTTGCATTATGTTATGTTGTTTTGTTATGGTGTTTTATATTATATTCTTTCTTCTCAAATAATCCAATGGGTTTTTTAGAGTTTAATATCTCTGAAGTTTCAAAGAAAGATTAAGAGACTTAAGCCTTCTCAAAGCTAAAATGATGCCTGAGATCACAACACTGGTTACTTCTCACTCCTAGGGAACCGCCATAATTAGTATAGTATTGCTTTTCAGAATCTACTCCCGGGAATTAATTGCATGATTAGAACCCAATCAAATACTATTACATTTGTGACCAAGATGTTGAAAATCTAATATTCAGACAAACTGATCTGATTAATCATTTGAAAATGGAACAGTTCTTAAATTACAAGGACTAGAAAGAAAGTCTGAAATAGTTAAACTACAGCTTGGGCTCTGTGGAGGGGAATTTTTCTGCAGCCATTTCCTCTACCCTCTGATCCTTCCTGAATCATTCTCCTTTTGTCCGCCAAAGACAGCAAGTTGATTACCTTTTTGTGTCTCCCTTTTCAAACACATCGCTGAAGCCAAGAGTAATTGTGCATTCAGCATTGGTATGAAAACCCATGATCACGTTAAAGTAATTGTAGCTTTTCATTCCCTGGCAAACAAGCTTTAAAGAAACAAGAGAAAATTTCATGTCAGCTCTAAACAGCTTTCCTCTTTGTCCTTAAAACATTTATCAATGTTTAATTTTTGAAGAGCTACATAGTCGTGAAAGGTGGTGGCAATCATGGCAAGAGAAATAACCTCAGGAGAAACAAAACGAATAAATGTCAGGAAAGTGACCATAACACTGACAGCAAATGAGCTTCCACAAGTTTAATTACCAGGAAATGCATGACCCTGTTGTTACTAACAAGACTGAAATCAACTAGCCTGAAGTTTCCAGGGTAGGGACTGCAACTAATTATTTGGTCAAGCTTCTTTGATAATGGACTCCGGGATATCTGCCATTGGCTTCCTACCTTGGAATTGCCTCTCTTTCTGAAAGCAGTCTTTTAACAAGAGAATTTGGAAAATATAGACAATCTCCCGAAGTAGTTCCCAAATATTAATTTAAAGTAATACAAAGGATAAAGAAACCATTTATTCTATTCCAAGAGAAGTGTGATCTTTGATCCTGTGAATTTTTTCAGACTCAATCAATAGTAGCCCTTAGTAGGCCCTTAAATATAGTTGAATACATGAGTGAAAAAAAATATGCCAATGGGGATTCACTTTATTTTCATATGGTAATGTGAAAGGAAAATAAATCTTGGGGACCCCAAATCACTAAGCTAAAGGGAAAAGTCAAGCTGGGAACTGCTTATGGCAAACCTGTCTCCCAGTCTATTCAAAGTCATCCCTCTGCTCACTGAGATGAATGCCTGACTGATTGTCTCCTTTGGAAAAGCCAATCAGAAACTCCAGAGAATGCAACTGTTTGTCTCTCACCTACTTGTGACCAGAAGCCCCCTTCCTGCTTGAGTTGGCCCCGCTTTCTGGATGGAACCAATGTACATCTTACATATATTGATTGATGTCTCACGTCTTCCTAAAATGTATAACCAAACTGTGCTCTGACCACCTTGGGCACATGTCTTCAGGACCTCCTGAGGCTGTGTCATGGGCCTGTGTCCTCAACCTTGGCAAAGTAAATTTTCTAAATTAACTGAGACAGTCTCAAATATTCAGGGTTCACAGTAACTTTCAATAAAGTTTTTCTTTATTGCAAAAAAATTGTTGTCATACATAATGATGGATTCTAAATGTTCAAGACTAAATATAAAAATTATGGTTAGACAAAAGATTCTTGAATGTCTAAGTTATTGTTTCCTTTACCTATTTATTTATCCATTCATTTATAAGTATTTATTAAATGAATTTCAGAGGTTAGCAACCATAGAATTAGTCATTAATGGATACAAAGGTGTTGTGGTCATCAATTTTATGTATCAACTTGACTCGGCTAAGAAATGCCCAGATAGCTGGTGAAACAGTATTTCTGAGTGTGTCTGTGAGGGCATTTCCAGAAGACATTAGTGTTTAAATCAGCAGGCAGAGTAAAGAAAATCAAATTCACCAGTATGGAAGAGTATCATCTAATTAATTGAGGGACCAAATATAACAAAAAGGTGAAGGAAGGGCAAATTTATTGTCTCTCTTTGAGTTGGAAGATCTATCTTCTCCTGGTTCTTGGGCCCTTGGACTAGAATTCGGACTTACATCATTGGCTTTCTTGCTTCTCAGGCCTTCGGGCTTGAGTTAGAACTATACCAGTGGCTTCCCTGGGTCTCCAACTTACAGAAGGCAGATCAGCCTATATATGATTTATTATGTTACATATATGATTTATTATGAGGCATTGGTTAACACTGTGAGCTTATATACATGTATGTGTATATATATATAGAGAGAGAGAGACACATACATATATGTGTGTGTGTGTCAGATTCTCCCCGGGGCCTGAAAGCTTAAGGAGATGAGTAACTCCTCCTTCGCAGGCCCAGTCCCAAGACACAAAGCCACTTGGCACCAGCAGCGTGTGTCAGCAAGAGAGCAGAAGCAGGAAGAGAGCCAGCCAGAAGACACGTACCCCTGAAGATCGAGAAAGAGGCCATCCAGGTACAACGTAGCAGTCAGACTAGGACACTTCCTGTTTACAGGAGACTATCAAACCTTTGTCCCATCCTCACTTAGGGCTGACGCCATTTTAGGCCTCAGCCGGCCTGCACCCAGGCACTCATTAAAACAGCATATTGCTCCACACCGCATCGTGTTGTCTGTTGGCATGCTTTTGGGGTTTGAACCAATACAAGAACCTTACATCTGGTACCAAAACCTGGGAGTGGCTCAGGTCTGCATACCCTGTGGACCTAACCCTCCACCCCAGAGAGCAGGCCACAGCTGCCAGACAAAGGAAGCTCCTCAGCCTCCAGTCACCTCTCCGTGCATGCACATCGGTCACTGATCTCGCCTACTGGTAAGTTTCCCCGGGGCCTGGTTAACAAGGGAAAATCCACACGGCCTCTCTTGGTTTCTCCGGTCCAAAAATCCAAAGTTGGTCCAAGAAGGCTCCGGTGTGTGCCAGGAACTCGCTGATCATCTGGTCTTAGGGGGACGCCTCTAAGCCATTTGATCCCATTCAGGGAACGAGAAAAGCAGCGGTGACGATTGCTCCTTTTATCGTCTCCCTCCAGCCGTCCAGGACGGTCTCCTTTTTCCCTGTTCTCCCAAGCTGACCCTCGGTTATCGGAAACTCCCAGTCCTCCATTCCAAAAAACAGCCCTCTAGGCTGCCCCATAAAAAAGCCTGTAAACCTTAGGCCTCAGGCAAGATATCCACCCTAAGCGCCTTATCTTTTTTGCAATACAGCCTGACTGCAGTCTGAATTAGATAACAGGTCCAAATGGCCTGCAAATAGAACATTCGACTTTACAGTTTTAACTGACTTAAGCAATTATTGCCGACTACTGGAAAAATGGGCAGAAATTCCTTATGTCCAGGCCGTTTTGCACTCAGATCACAACCCGACCTCTGCAATTCTGGCTTACCTGTTCAAATCCTTCTCCTCCATTCTCACCGCCCTGATTGCCTTTCTCCTTCCGACCCTAACTCTTTTTCCTCATTCAATTCAGCTGACTGCTGTCCACCACTCCCAGCCCCTACCTCTCCCTCTCAACTGTCTTCTTTAACTCCCCAATCTTCCTTGTTATCTTCTCAGCTGCCATCTTCCCCGCCATCTTCCCCACCATCTTCCCAGCCGGCATCACTTCCAAAAGTACCCACTCCTTTTCCTACACCGTCCCCTCCTCAAGACAATTCTAGTATTGCCTGTACCCATTCTCCTCCCCCACCACCCTCTCCTGAAGCCTGTAAACCCATCATGCCACCTTACACCCCTATCTATCCTCCATTACCTATCAACTCAACCCCCCTTCCCCCTTCAAACCCTCAGAAGGAACCATTTCCAGCTTCTTCTTTCACTACCGCCTATACTCGCTCAGGCACCATCGTTGACTCTTACTTCAGTGCTGGTGCTAGAGTGCTCCCTTCAGGAAGTAGCAGAAACTGAAGGTATTGATAGAGTTCATGTTCCCTTCTCCCTCACTGATCTCTCTCAAATTAACAACAGTCGCAGTTCATTTCCAGAAAACTCTACCTCTTATATTGAGGAGTTTCAGTACCTTACCCAGTCTTATGAACTAACCTGGCATGACCTCTACATTATCCTCTCTTCCACCCTCACCTCAGAAGACCAAAACCGTATCTGGACCCCAGTTCAGGAGCATGCTGATACAATTCATCACCAAGCTCCTGCCCAGCCTACTGGCACAGAGGCAGTCCCCAACCAGGACCCCCACTAGGATTATCAAGACGGGGCCTCTAGACGCCACCGTCCAGACCACAGGATTGTGTGTCTCCTTGCAGGACTCAAAAAAGCTGTCCATAAAGTGGTAAACTATGAAAAACTTTCAGAAATCACCTAAGGTCCTGACGAAAACCCAGCCCTTTTTCTCTCTCATGTAACTGAAGGCATGAGAAAGTACACCAACCCAGACCCAGTCAGCCCAGAAAGAACCACTGTTTTAAACCTTCGATTCATCTCCCAATCCACCCCTGATATTTGGTGCAAGCTTCAGAAGCTTGATGACGGCCCTCAAACCCCACAACGAGACCTTCTTAATTTAGCCTTCAAAGTCTTTAACAATTGTGATGAGGAAGTAAAAGGCAAAAACAGGCAGAGTTTCAAATGTTTGCCTCCACCGTTAGAGGCCCTGCAGGTCCCTGAGGCCGCAGCTCCACAAAGAAGCCTCCTAGCAATCCACCTCCACCTGGTGCCTGTTTCAAGTGCAGCAATGAAGGCCACTGGTCCAAACAATGCCCAAACCCAGGTAAGCCCACCAGCCTGTGCCCCTTCTGTGGAGGACCCCACTGGAAGTCGGACTGTGAGCAGCTCCTGCAAGGACTGCCCCCATCCTTCCCTGAGGTGACCAAAACCTCCTACTTGGATCTCTTCCGCCTTGCCGCTGAAGACTGATGGTGCCCTGGAATGGATGCCCCAGCAACTACCATTGCTTCATTCAAGCCAAAGGTAACCCTGATAGTGACAGGTAGGCCAGTATGTTTTTTAATTAATATCAAGGCCACCTACTCTGCTTTACCTAATTTTTCAGGACCCACCCAGTCCTCTCATGTCTCTGTTGTAGGAATTGATGGACAAATCTCCAAACCCCGAGTCCCCCTCCACTCTTCTGCTCCCTGCACACCTTTTCCTTCACTCACTCTTTCTTAGTCCTGCCCTCATGCCCAGCTCCGCTCCTAGGCAGAGCCATCCTTTCAAAACTCCATACTACTCTCCACTTCCATGTTCCCCATAGTACCCAACGCATCAACCCAGATCCCTCCAAGGCTTCTAACTTTCTTCTACTCCTTCGACCTCCCACCCTAAAACATGCAACTTTTCCTTATCCCCCATCCATAGTTAACCCCACTGTTTAAGATACTTCCACACTCTCAGTCGCAAAACACCACACCCTCATTCGCATTACCCTTAAAAGCCCCACCCAGTTCCTATCACAGAAGCAGTATCCCATCCCCCAAGCAGCTCTCACAGGCCTAAAGCCTATCATTTCTGGCCTCCTCGCCAGTCACCTACTCCGCCCAACAGACTCCACTTTTAACACACCAATTCTACCCGTTAAAAAGCCAGATGGAACTTAATGCTTAGTCCAGGACCTCAGGCTCATTAACCAAGCTGTACTCCCAGTATGTCCAGCAGTTCCTCACCCATACACTTGACTTTCTGCAATTCCCTCCAGTACCACCCATTTTTCTGTTCTAAATCTAAAGGATGCTTTTTTCACAATTCCTTTACACCCTGATTCTCAAAACTTATTTGCCTTTACGTAGGAAGATCCTGACACCCACCTTTCACGCCAGCTCACCTGGTGTGTACTACCTCAAAGTTTCAGAAACAGCCCCCACCTTTTAGACAGGCCCTTGCTCACGACCTCTGTACCTTATCTCTAAAACTGTCCATTCTCCTTCAATGTGTTAATGTTCTGCTCCTATGTAGCCCCTCTCAAGGAGAGTGCAATGTCCATGCTATCTCTCTCTTTTAAACTTCCTGGCAGAACAGAGGTACTGAGTCTCCCCTAAGAAAGCACAAATATGCACCCCCTCAGTCACCTATCTAGGCCTAGCTCTTACCCCGTGAACCCAAAGTCTCACAACTGACCACATATCCTTCCTCCAGTCCCTCCCGCCTCCACAAACTAAGCAAGATATTCTCTCTTTTCTAGGACTAGTAAGATATTTTAGGCTCAAAGTTCCCTCCTTTGCTCTCTTGCCAAACCATTATACCATGCTACTAAAGGCCGTCTCCATGAGCCTTTAAACCCTGCACAGGCTATTACCCAACCTTTCCATCTACTCCAAAAGGCTCTCATCTCAGCCCACGTCCTCATTCTCCCATACCTCACCAAACCTTTCTCCTTTATACTGATGAATGCGTGGAGTTGCACTGGGTGTTCTAACCCAGTCAAAGAGAACCACCCTCCAGGTTATTGCCTACCTCTCTAAACAGCTTGAAGCCACAGTTCTTGGATGGCCTGCCTGTCTCCAGGCATTGGCGGTAGCTACTGTACTCACCCTTGAAAGCCTAAAATTATCTCTCCATGCCAACCTAACAGTTTATTCAACCCATAACATCAAAGACATGCTAGCTCGCCACAGTGTACTAAGTCTCATCTCTGCCCCACATTTCCTCCAACTGTATGCTCTATTCATAGAAACCCCTCAAATCACCTCAAATCACCATGCTAACCAGCTCCTGTCTAAACCTGGCCACACTCTTACCTGAAGCTACAACTGCCCAAAACCCTACACACTGCTGTGTAAACATTTTTCAAACCTTTCTTATACCTTTTCCAAACCTAACAGACCAACCCCTTCCAGATGCCTCCTTTACTTGGTTTGTAGATTGCAAATCCTTCCTACATCAAGGGCTCCGGCATGCTGGCTATGCTATAGTGTCACTGCCCCCCCGCACACTATTGAAGCGAATCTGCTCCTCCCAGGCGCCACCTCCCGAAAAGCTGAACTCATCGCCCTCACTCGATTTCTCACTCTAGCAGTCAGGCAACAGATCAACATATATTCAAATTCTCGTTATGCGTTCCACATAGTGCACTCATACTCGATTCATCTGGAAAGATCGAGGTTTCCCAACTGCAAAAAACACTCCCGTCATAAATGGCTCTCTCATCAGCAAGCTCCTTTAAGCTGCCAGGCTACCACAGAAAGTTGCCATCATTTATTGCAGCGGCCACCAAACCCCGGACAATCCTATATCAGCTGGAAATGCTTTAGCAGATCAGGTAGCCAAACAAGTAGCCCTACAACCCGTGCAAGGCCAGTTTCTGTCCCTGTCGTTATTCTCTCCTCTTTACTCCTCAGAAGAAAAGGAGGACTTCCAGGCCCAGAACCTTCAAAGGCAAGGACCATGGTACATCAAGGAAGGGTGCTTTGTTCTTCCTCACTCTCAAAGCCTTCCTCACCTCCAAAGCCTCCACAGCTCTTGCCATGTTGGTTACAAACCTCTCTTGCAATTTATCTGCCCTATTCTCACTTGTGTTCGAGAAATTACCCAGGCCTGCTCTATCTGCCACTCAGTTTCACCCCAGGGCTCCCTCCGGTCACTGCCTTTTCCTACCCACCAAGCTGGAGGCCAGATACCTGGGCAAGATTGGCAAGTAGACTTCACTCACATGCTGCCCAATAAACAGCTCTGCTATCTTCTAGTCTCTGTACTTTCTCCAGGTAAGTAGAAGCATTCCCAACAACTTCAGAAGGTGCAAATGCCATCACACAAACCCTTATCATGCATATAATTCCCCATTTCAGACTCCCAACATCCATTCAGTCAATAACAGGCCTGCCTTCATCAGCCAAGTTACCCAAGGCATCTCTACATCCTTAAAAATAAAGTAGGATCCCCACACACCCTACAGGCCTCAATCTTCAGGCAAAGTTGAAAAAATTAACTCTGTCCTTAAAACCCAACTTTCTAACCTGGGTCTATAAACCTGTCAATCATGGACAAAAAATCTCCCTTTTGCCCTTATAAGACTCCACACAAAACCAAAGGCACCCTCTTTTTATAGTCCCTTTGAAATCATGTATGGCTGAACCTTTTTCTTGGGGCCTCCACCCTTACCAGACTCTGAGCCACTCAGCAATTACCTCCCCTCCTTAATCCAGACATGGTCTTTCATTCATGAAGCAGCGAATGAGGCCATGCCTCTCCCTGTTGACACCTCCTTGTCCTCTCAACATAACTGTTTTGCAGGCACAGGCGTGATTCCAGACAATCCAGATGATGCTCCTGCTACAACGACACGGTGGATACCAACCCGTCTCTCAAGAATACCCAAAAAATGAAAGTTTTTCTTTTTCTAAGGTGCCCATGCCACCCGCTATGTCACGCCTGCATTAGTTATTGAGAAAGTCGTCCCTTTTCCCTTTTTTCTATAACCAAATAGGAACGTAAGATCCTCCTCCACAGGGCCTGAAAGCTTAAGGAGATGAATAACTCCTCCCTTCGCAGGCCCAGTCCCAAGACACAAGGCCACTTGGCGCCAGCAGGGTGCATCAGCAAGAGAGCAGAAGCAGGAAGAGAGCTGGCCGGAAGACACGCACCCCTGAAGATCGAGAAAGAGGCCATCCAGGTACAACCTAGCAGTTACGTCAGGCGAGAACACTTCCTGTTTACAGGAGACTAAAAAACCTTTGTCCCATCCTCACTTAGGGCTGACGCCATTTTAGGCCTCAGCCTGCCTGCAGCCAGGCACTCATTAAAACGGTATATTGCTCCACACCACCTTGTGTTGTCTGTTGGCATGCTCTTGGGGTTTGAACCGATACAAGAACCTTACAGTGTGTATATACATATATATGCATATACGTGTGTGTTTATATATACATCTGTGTGTATATATACGTATGAATATATATACACACACACACACACACACACACACACACACACACAACCAAAAACCTCCATGTGACCTTGGGGAGACCTCCCCTGCTTCTATATAGTCAGCATTATGAGAACAATGGAAGAGGGACCTCCAGGGCTCTGTGTTCTCATGGGCAATCTCTACTCTTCCTCCTCACTCATACTCAGAGCCACAAGTACCAGAGTCTTATGATGAACTTTATTGCCATTGAAGCCATTTGCCAGCATAAACTCTACAAACCTAGTTAACTCTGCATCCCTTGGATTCTCGCTCCCATGTGGTTCTGTGTGTTTTTAAAGTGACCAGTCTTCCATTCACCACAAACCTCCTAAACATTTCCACTCTACTTTTAGGACACCAGTACATTATCTGACATCTCAACATCATTCCTTGTGTTTTGTTGCCCTTCTTGCTCTAACTGGAACCTGGCTCACCGTGGAGATTGCTACTTCTCCTGAAATTTTCTCGAAACCATGATTATTTACTTCTCCACACCTTTCATGCAACTCAAGGAGTTTCCCTTTTTACTGCCGTTGCCAAAGCTTCAATTCAACCCCCCTCCTTTGATTTAACCTCATTGGAACTCATGGAAGCAGGCAGTACCACACTAACACTTTAGTGTGAATCACCTTACAAACCCCAAAGTTCTTATTTATAAGGGATTGTAGTACCTGACTCATTGCTATTCTCACTAATATTCTAACTATTTTAATTTCTGGTCAGTGTAATATCCACATAGATTATATTTCCAATAATTAAATTAGATTTATTAAGGTATAATTCACACACATGAGTGTACAGCTCATAAGTTTTGACAAATGCAGTCAGTCCTGCCCACCACCACAATCAAGATATTAAAAATGTTCATCAGCCTAGAAGATCCATTTTTCTCCTATGTGGTGAAGCCCTCCATTAACCATTAGGCTCTGGTAACCACTGATCTTTTTTATTTTTTCTATCCTTGTGACTTTTTTCTTTTCCAGATTGTCATATAAAGAAATCATATATAATGTAAATGTTGGCTTTTTTCACCTAGTATAATGTATTTGAGATTCTTCCATGCTGTTCTGTGTAACAATATGTCATCTTTTATTACTTGTTAGCATTCCATTGTATGGATGTACCACTATTTGTTTACCCATTGACAAATTGAAAGATATTTGAAGTTTCACAACTTTGGTGATTATGTTTTTGTGTGAATCTAAGTATTCATTTCTCTAGTACAAATATCTAGAAGTAGAAGCACTAGATCATATAGTAAATGTATGTTTAAATTTGTAAGAAAATGCCAAACTCTTTTCCAAATTAGCTGTATCATTTTGTGTTCCTACCAGCAACGTGTGTGAATTCCAGTCACTCTGCACCTTCTCCAGCAATAGGTACATTCAGGTTTTTTGTTTTTAAGTCTTTCTTATAGGCATGAAATTTTATTTTACTGCACATTTACCCTCGACTAATGATGTTGACCATTTTTTCATATGCTTATTTGCTATTTTTACATCTCTTTCAGTGAAATGTCTGTTCAAGTCTTTTGTCCACTTTTTAAATAGATCTCTTATTTACTTATTATTGAGTTTTGAGTCTTAGTTGTATATTGTGGATGCACATGTTTAATCAGATATGTTTTACAAACATTTTCTTTTTTTCCTTTTTTTGAGAGAGAGTCTTGCTCTTTTGCCCAGACTGCAGCATAATGGTGCCATCTTGGTTCACTAAGGCCTCTGCCTCCTGAGTTCAAATGATTCTCCTGCCTCAGCCTCCTGAGTAGCTGGGATTACAAGGTGAGTACCACCATGCCCAGTTAATTTTTTTCTTTTTTTATATTTTTGGTAGAGACAAAGTTTTACTATGTTAGCCAGGCTCGTCTTGAACTCCTGGCCTCAAGTGATCCACCTGCCTCAGCCTCCCAATGTGCTGGGATTACAGGCGTGAGCCACCTCACCTGGCTTTCAGATAATGCACTTTTTAGTATCTAGGAGTTCAATTTGGATCCTCTTTATATGTTTCAGTAGCTTCCAAAACATGTTTATATTTTCTCCAGATTCTTAGACATATAGAATATATTCATATCAGGTGTTTTAACATCTATGAATTATATTATCTGTGTGATTTTTTTTTGGTCTGATGATATTGATTGCTTTTTCTCCTAATAATGGCCCCATTTTACTTGTTCCTCTGATAATTTTGTATTGGATTTCAGACATTGTGAATTTATCATATTTGGGTATTAATTATCTATTTTGTTTCTTATTTATTTAAATAATTTTGAACTTCAGTGATGGTATATAACTCCTATATCAAGGAAAAACACCCAAAATAATACTCTAGAACTCACTGCAATATTTGCATACTCTTTATAATCTGATTTCCAAGTTTTTCATTTTCTATCACCTCTTATTCTAACTTATTTTTTACTGACACCCAATTCCAACAATGTATTTGTCCACCAGAAATCTACATTTCATTGATCTTGCCACATCATTATTGCTTCTTACACTACTCATGACCTTACATGATGTTTATTTCCATTTAGAGTCCATGGCCCATCATTGTTATAGTTCATTTAAATCAAATTTCCACATACTACCCTCTCTTCCCTCACCAAATGAATCTCTTATCCTAGTGAAATGAACGTTCTGGCATTATCCTGTTTCAGCAGCCCCATATTAAAGCATGGCTGGAGAAAAATGAAGCAAGCTATGGTTTCATGGTAACTCTATGATTCAAAGATACCCAATCTCAAATTGACTATTAATACTGCTGTCAATTCTTCATTATTTCATCAGTCCATTCAATCTTTTGATCTCCAGGATGGTTATCTTATGATTCATCCTCTCGCCTAAAATTTCCAAAACCTCACTTACTGCTTTTATTTTCACTCTTATCTAATATGCTTCTACCTATCATATTGAGAAAACAGAAACAATTATAAGACAACATCCACATGCTTTCACTACCACATTGATTTATCTACTTTCTTTCCTTCTCCAATGCTGGAGTGACCCATCCTCAGACTTCCTCAATTCTCTACCATACTTACTCCTAGGAGATTTCTTTTATTCATATGAACTTAAATACTGTATGTATGCTGAGAAATCTCAAATTTGTAGCATATATATACATAGTCCAAATTTTACTCCCAACTGTAAACTCATAGTCCAACTACCATCTAAAGATCTCTAGTTTATATGTTCCCCCAAACTCTAGACTTATTAATCAAATTACTCACTTGACCTTACTACACAACCACCTTCAAGACATCTCTACTTAACATATTAAAAAAATATATCTTGCTTTTCCTACTTCAATCTGCTCCTTCAGTCTTCTCTATCTCAGTTCATTACACAACTAATCACCCATTTTTTGCCTCTTCTTTCCACTCACTGCTAATCTATCAAAAAATCCCATTGGACCTACCATTGAAATGAATCTGAGTATATTCATTATTCTCATTTCCTCCCCTGTCACCATCCTGACTGCACTGTTATTTCTTACTTTAAATGTACTAGCTCTTTAACCTCCCTGCTGGTCTCTCTTGCCATCCTGTCCTCTAGTGTATGTTCAACAGAGCAGCCAGAGTAGGAACCCTATAAATCTTAAATCAGATTATGCTACTTTTTTCTGAAAATTCTCTTACATTTTCTCATCTCAGCCGACACTTTTGTAGCTGTCTGCAAAGCACCCCCATGATCTGATGCCTGTGATTCTCCTCCACCCAATTTCCATGACTCACTCTCTCAATCACTGTACTCCAGTTGCAATGGCCTCCTCACTGCTTCTCAAACACACTTAGCATGCATCCTCCTTAGTGTCTTTACACACTATGGTATTGGTTTTGTATTTTCTGGGTTTACGTTCTTCTTTACTTTAAGTCTCTAATCAAACACAGCCTACTTGCTGAGGCCTTTGCTGAGTATTCTATATGATACAGTGACCCATCCCCCTTACTCTCTACTCCCTTTTGCCTGGCTCCATTTTATATTCCTCTTGGAATTTTATCACAATGTATATACACAAATGCATCTATAAACATATACATATTATCACAATATGTATACATAAATGCATCTACAAACGTATAATTATAGGTTTGTGGTACATCCCCTTCCATAGAATATAAGCTCCTTCAAGACAACGTTATGTGTTATATGCTATGATTATATCTGAAGTATCAAAATCTAGAAGAAAATTAAAACATGAAATAGTGTAGTCACTCTATAAATATTAAATAATTATTCTTGTAAGAATGAGTAAACAAATAAATTTATTGTCTCTGAGTCAGAGCTTAGCAGTGAAGACGGACATTATATTTTCATAAACCTCCACACAAACATTTTAATGATTGAAATTTTTTTATTGAGATGGAGTCTCACTCTGTCGCCTAGGCTGGTGTGCAGTGGAACCACTGCCTCCCGGGTTCAAGCGATTCCCCTGCCTCAGCCTCCCAAGTAGCTGGAATTACAGGCACCCGACACCATACCCAGCTAATTTTTATATTTTTAGTAGAGATGGGGTTTCATCATGTTGGACAGGCTGGTCTCAAACTCCTGACATCAAGTGATCCTCCCACTTCAGCCTCCCAAAGTGCTGGGATTACATGTGTGAGCCCCCATGCCTGGCAATTTGTTGCTATACGGTAGTCCTGAAGATGAAAAACATATAAAATTCAAACATCAGTTAAGGCTATATTTAACAAAATGTCTTAAGTGTAAATAATAGAATTTTCCAAAATAATTTGTAGAAGCAATTTTTTGTGTATGTTTATATATTATGGTGAACACTTAAAACTTTTTATCTCTGCTATTGATTGACATAACCGCTAGCTTAAGCAAACAAATTTGAGGAGTAAACTTTTTGCCAGAATCGTAATTATTTTGCTCTTTTCGATCACTGTTGCAGACCTCCAGCTCCTTCAAATTCTGCTCTAGTAGTCTCAGAGTCTTCCGTATGTGTCATTTTCTCAGGTGGCCTTCCCTGCCAGCACTCAGGGGCTTGTCCCTCAATCATGGATTAAGAGACAAACATATAAATAGCAAAAAAAGAAAAAAGAAAAGTTTGATAGTTAATCCAGCTAGCAGCACATAATAAATACACTCTATGAGTCACATCTTAATGTAGACAAATATGTCCTTTTGGTACTCGAGGCACAGACAGTGAAAGAGATAAGGTAGAGCAGGGAAAAGGACACTGGCAAATGCCATGAAATAGTTAAAAGTCTGCCCAGCTCTGCAATTCAGACTTTGAGAATTCCTCCAGCTGCATCCAAAATGAAGTGCCACTTTGTGATGTCATTCGGTTTCCAAATTAGATCAACCGCTGAGAGGGAAGAGGTCAATGACAATAAGATGTCTCGGGGGGAAAGGAGAAGGGGTGAAATGCTCATCTCAAAGAAAGAGAAGAGAGCAAGATTATGAAAGTAGGGTAATATGTATTCTGGGCAGCTCAGAGAGCTATTAGAAGTATGAAATCATAAAATTAAACCAAATTCAATCTTCCAGGCTGTGTGATTTTCTCCAGTGAGGTTCAGTTATTCTGCTACAAGCACACAGAGGTTCATTTTATCTAGAAATATTTTCTTGTGTGTGAAGAAAGAAGAAAGGGGCAAATGGATTGAAGTAGCACATGTGAGAGTATTCTGAATGGTAAACCTGAGATTCAAACAGAACAAGAAGATAAGTAAAGGCAGAAGTGAGAAAGCCATGGTATTTATGGATAGGTCCAAGTACAGCTAGAGCTACAGTCCTTGAGCAAGGAAAATGAAAGTATAATTCTCATTACATATTTTTAGTATGGTCTGCTTGTGAAAATGGTATCCTTTTGAGTAGTTATGACAATCAAAATACTATTGTATACAATATAAAAGAAGAAAAGTACCCAGTTCCACTTGATAGCAAAGCAATGCTAGAGTCTTGCTATTTTCTGAATGGGTTGACAGCACCTTAATCCGCTTCATTCTGCTGCTGGCCTCGAATCCTGTGGAGCTAATGGACCAGTCTTTCCTCTCAATACTTAATGTTGACTTGACATCACCTCAGCTACCACTGGGGCCAGACACCTCCTGTGACCTATTTTACCCAAAATCTCAGCACAGTATACAGTTGGGAAAAAGCATTCCGATTTCCAGGCAACAATTATATGTTGAACTTAATGTCAGGAATAGATATGTCACAGAAATAGATAATATCACAGGAATAGATAATGGCAGATATATATATATATATATATGAATTATATATATATTCATTGTGTGAATATATTTATTCAAACTAAACAGATATTACATATCTGTACATATTATACAGTAACTTACATGTAGTAGGCATTCAAAAATATTTTATAGACAACACAATGAAGGGATGTGATTTTATTTACCAATAGTGAGGGATTGTTATTTGTTGCTTTCTCACTAGGGTACATGTGGGACTCAATGTTAATAACCGTATTTCTTTTCAAAAAAAGATAATATTATAAAAGCATAGTAGCTGCTGTCACCTTTGTGTTCCGTTTCTTTACAATTAATTATAAATACAGTTTGGATCTCTGCAGGTTAGAATGAATGACAAAATCCATTCTAATCAATAGCTCAGTGATATAATATTTAAGCTCACTACTAGACACTCTAAAGCCTAGAAATAAAATATCCTAACAGAATAGGTGGTACTATATAATCCTCATCCTGGGATTCATGACATCTACCTCTCAGAGAGGACAGCTGGTGGGTAGAAAATGGAAGTATTTCAACAGCAGGTTTGTCAAATGATAAGTCAGCATTATTTACTTTAAAACATGCACTAAGAACACAGCCACTGAGAATTGTCGATGAATAGTTCATTAGTATGCAAAAGAGATTGTCAACAATTTGCTAATATTTTAATGAAAGACTATACAGCAAATAATTATAGGGACAGACTCATCCAAGAATATTTTATCTGCAGGTTGAAAAGTTAGCATTCAACAATGAGACTTGCCTGGAGACTGGAGAAAAAAGATTGAAGAAAACAAGAGGGATTAGCATGTTTGCTGGACATGAAAAGTAGGGGATATGTGAATATTTTTATGAAGAATGAGAGAAATGCATTATATATTGATTTTAGTATTGCTACAATGAAAGAAACTAATAGTTTTTAAAAAACAAATTTAGATAATACAAACTATGACTATCCTTTCTGTGTAAAGCTAAAGAAACAGTGTTATCATTTCACTACAAACTCAGTTCTGATTTTGGCCATAGTGTATGTTCTTGTGTCTATATCACTGGTTTCCAGAGTGTGTTCCAAGCAACATTCTTATCAACAGAGGGAATGGTCAACATGTTGAAGTATCTGCGTATTTTAATCCTCACTGGGTATTTAGGATGCATCTAAAAGGCTCTAAGATTTTCTGCAGTAAACATATCAATTAACGAAACATACCAATCCTCATCTTAGTTGACAGTATGTTTACATATGTATCTATTTATTCACCTATTCATTTATTTATTTTTTAACATCTTTCTACATGTGTATGTGAGGGTTAAGTTTAGGTGTCAACTTGACTGGATTACTGGATACCCACATAGCTGAGACAGCATTATTTCTGGGTATATCTGTGAAGGTGTTTCTTGCACAGATGGACATTTGAATCTGTGGCCTGAATAAGGGAGCTCTACCCTTACCCAATGTTGTTGGGCACAATCCAATCAGCTAAAGACCAGGATAAAAGAAAAAGACAGAGAAAAGATGAACTTTTATTTTCTTCTTTTCAGAGAAAAGATGAACTTTTATTTTCTTCTTTTCAGAGAAAAGATGAACTTTTATTTTCTTCTTTTCAGAGAAAAGATGAACTTTTATTTTCTTCTTTTCAGAGAAAAGATGAACTTTTATTTTCTTCTTTTCAGAGAAAAGATGAACTTTTATTTTCTTCTTTTCAGAGAAAAGATGAACTTTTATTTTCTTCTTTTCAGAGAAAAGATGAACTTTTATTTTCTTCTTTTCAGAGAAAAGATGAACTTTTATTTTCTTCTTTTCAGAGAAAAGATGAACTTTTATTTTCTTCTTTTCAGAGAAAAGATGAACTTTTCTTTCTTTCTTTCTTTTTCTTTCTTTCTTCCTTCTTTCTTTCTTTCCTTCTTTGTTTCTTTTCTTTCTTTCTTCCTCTCTTTCTTTCTTTCTCTCATCTTTCTTTCTTTTTTTCTTTCTCTTCCTTTCTCCTTCCTTCCTTCTTTATTTATTTATTTATTTATTTATTTATTTATTTATTTATTTATTTATTTTCTTTCTCTTTCTCCTTCCTTCCCTCCCTGCCTCCCTCCCTCCCTCCTTCCTTCCTTCCTTGGAAGGAAGTGGAAACAGTCCTATCTGTAATACATTACGAATAAATATGGAGTGGCTGAAGCTGTGATTGTCCCTTGAAACTGACTGTGACAGCTTCCAGGCCACATCACTCCCTTTAAAATTGAACCCTATGGGCATATTGAAATGTGAAATAAATACGTTTGGCTGGTGAATCCTAACAAACTTTATTAGTTACTTGGACTACCACATGCCATTGGAGTAAGATCCCCGCCTGATCTTATGCAGAGTCAATTTCACAAAGAAGTTTTAGAATCTAAATATAACAGTTTAAAAACCCGCCCACTAATCATGTTTTCACCCCTTCTGATGTGGTCCCTAAGCCACGCCCATCCATATGCATATGATGGACTAAGAGTTATGGTGACATGAACGGGGGCAAAAAGTATCTGGGGAAGAAGCTCACTGTGGCAACCTTTGGCCTGGAAGGTTTCACTGTGTCCTTTTATAAACCAAGCAAGCCTTGTTGAGTTTTTATGTTGTTCTCTGATGAACTTCAGATACTTAGTTTTTTCCCTTAGAGTTTGTATTCAAGATGGGGGTGAGAAAAAGAACAGCTGACCCTTGAACAATACAGGTTAGAACTGGGGGACTCTACTTCTAAGTAATTTTTTTTCAATAAATACAATTGGCCTCTGTATAAGTGGGTTCTGCATCCACAACCAAAGGTAAAAACAAAATTCAGAATTGGCAGGATGTGAAACTCACCTCCACAGAGGACCAGCATTTCTTAGCTGCAGGGCCCACAGGCAGGCCTGCTGGAATTGAGTAGGCATGGATTTCCGTAGCTGCAGGTGATCCTGGAACTAATCCCCTATGAATTGGGGCCATTCCAGCTACTTTTCCCTAATAGTGTATCCTTTTTTCGTGCTGGCTATAATTGGATCTAAGTCCAGAGGCCCATTTGATGAACACAGGGACTTTTATTCAGTGGGCAGTGAAAAGAAAAAAAAAACAAAAAAAAAAAAAAAGAAAAGAAAGGCAAGTAACCAGATTTGGGATTTGACATTTGGCATATGTTACCTTATTTCTGGCTCTCCCACACTGAGATAATAGAAGATCCTATAATGAGGATAATGTTTTGCAAAAATTAAACCCATTCACTTTAATTTACCCCCAAGGTGGGCCCCTGTGCAGTCCTCCACTTCTGGGCCAAACCCTGAAGTTCATTGCTCTTGCGAAGGAGAAAGTGATGCTATTTCCTAGAACACAGAGGCCACCAAGAAGCCTTGAGTTTTGAAACTGAGTTTCTTTAGTGACTAGCTGTTTCGTAACAATAACAACAAAAACAACTAGTCGTGTTAGGAAAGAAAAGGGTTTTCCAAGTCCCTCCACACTGCAGATTGTGATCCATTATTATGTGTCAGAAAGTCAATTGAGTAGTATTAAGACAAGTTTTGTGTGTTGTTTTTGGTGGGATTTTTTTTTTCAGTTTGTTTTTCCTTAGTGATTGATTAGGACACAACAGAATTAAGTAGAATAGGATGCGGATTGAATGCACCACTCACATCGAGAATACTGTTTTGTGAAACACATTGTGCACGTCACGGTTCTCCAGAAAAATGGAACCAATGATATATATATACACATACATGGCAGGGGGGTTATTAAGGTAAATGGCCCACATCAGTATGGAAGCTGAGAAGTCCCACAATATGCTGTCTACATGCTGGAGAAACTAGGGGACTGCTGGTGCAAGTCCTGGCATCTGAAGGCTGGAGAACCTGGTGTTCTGATGTCCAAGGGCATGAGAATATGGGGGTCTCAGCTCCAGAAGAGAGAAAGAAAGAGAAGGAAGGAAGGAAGGAAGGAAGGAAGGAAGGAAGGAAGGAAGGAAGGAAGGAAGGAAGGAAGGAGAAAGAGAAAGAGAAAAAAAGAAAGAAGGAAAAGAAAGAAAAGAAAAAAGAAAGAAAAAGAACAAAGGAGAAAAGTTCATCTTTTCTCTGCCAGAAAAGAAGAAAATAAAAGTTCATCTTTTCTCTGCCTTTTTCTTCTATCCTGGTCTTTAGCTGATTGGATTGTGCCCAACAACATTGGGTAAGGGTAGAGTTCCCTTATTCAGGCCACAGATTGAAATGCCAATCTGTGCAAGAAACACCCTCACAGATGTACCCAGAAATAATGCTTTCTCAGCTATCTGGGTATCCAGTAATCCAGTAAAGTTGACACCTAAAATTAACCCTCACATACACATATGCATCTTAGCATGAGAGAAGAATATAATACACAGTGGAAATCCCAGAGGCAAAGGGGAGTGTGAGATGGGCTGTACAGGATGATGAGGACACCAGGGCTATGGTCCCTCTGCTCACTCCCTGTGTGGAACCCTAGTAGGGGATGCCTGGCAGCCCTCCACCTTTACCCTTTTCTATTTTCTCAACCCTTCCATCAAACTAAGGGCAGCCATATCCAAGTGGTTTGGTGAACAACGTTTGGTCAAGCAGAGGAGGAGCCTATTTTGTCTCTCAGGAAAGAGTCTTTGCCCCTCTATTCCAGCATGTGGCATTTAGCAGGATATGGGGAGACACCGAAGTCAGAATGAAATGCTGAGGGTCCCAGAGAACTGTGAATGTTGCCAAGGATTTTGGGGGCAACCTCCTTGTCTGGGAACCATACGGCCATCACAGTTAGGGGAGTGGGCTGAGGTGAGGTCTATTCAGCAGAATATTTTTCTCCCTACCACCTTCCAGCTGGCAACATCACACCACACGTAAACTCAGGAACAGACCTCAGCAGCAGCCACCAGCAGAATACCCAAGGGGGGTCTCACATCACTGCTCTGCAGTCCACTGTGCAGCCAGCAAAACAAACATGCAAGCAACAAACAAAATCCCCTGAAGCAGAGACCAGAAAGGATGCAGTTGCTCCCCGTATTGAAGCACGTCCCCCACCCCCACTGTCCCCGCAATTCTTTCCTCTCTACCACCACAAGATTATGTAACTCACAAATTCTGTCAATCATCCATGTAGCATTTGGAGGAAAGAGCTGGCAGACAAAAATCTGAATGATAGAACTTCTAAGCAGATACTGTTAACCTAGAAGACTGATAGGGGTTTGCTTACCAACTCACAGTGCTTCTACCACATCACCATCTAAGAACTCAGAGAAAATTTTATCTAAGTTTACAGAATCTTCCTCAACACTATTTTAGAGCCAGGAACCCACTTTATGGCAAAGGAATAGCAACAACAAGCATGATTATAATGTATTCCAAATCAGTGGAAAGTGGTCAGCTGAAAAACACACTGAAGGGTTGGGGTGGCCTATTCCAGAATGCTGCATATGCACACAGATAGCATATCTTTTATGCATGCTCCATGAGCTGGATTGCATGGATCTGTGGTCCAAATGGTTAAAGTAGAATTGGTCCTTCTCAACAGACTACTCACATCTCGTTTGTGAAACTTGTGCTTCTTAACCTTAAAACTTTAGCTCAGCTGATTAGAACCCCTTGTTCCCAAGGAAGGACAGCTTCTATCATAACACACTGGGAAAATGCCACTGAACTGAAAACTGCACATTCTACCCTGTCATATGGGGCATGAAGAAGGTCCATGAGACAAGATAAGGTGTTACTGTATTGGTGAAGCCCAATGACCCTATTGACTTTGGTTCCCTAGGGTTGTTACCTAAGCAGGGGAATAGGAAAGAAAGTGCTAGAATCTAGGAAGCCCACCAGATCAGTTCCTTTTCTATCACATCCAAGGATGACTATAAATAGGTAATTACGGTAACAATGGCCCTATAAGGACAGGCAATCATAGCCTCACAGAATCATACTCAAGGTCGCTCCATTAAATGAGCAATCTAGAGGGCTTAGGAAAATTAGGTATTTAAGGAGTAGTTGCTGAATAACAATTGTGAGTTTGGGGAATACAGGCAGAAAAGGTAGCTCATTCTACCTCACCTAAATTAAGTCTTTTGTAGAAATTGAGCTGGTCGCTACACTGAAACTATTTGGACTTAAAGAAGGCACAAGTAAATGTGTGCTGTGAAAGGAGATGGCTGTATCCCATATGCTTTACCTCACATCTTCCCAGTTAATCTTTTAGGGCTTTGGAGTTTGCTGGCTTCTGATTTTATCTCTGTTGCCAGCAATATTATGGTTTAGGCTAATGGAACTAGGAAGCTGGTTTTTTACTCAGGCATCAAAAAATAACCTGATCTTGCTGAATTCACATGGATGGGCCATGACAGTCCTAGGCCTCTGCTTTACTCATCTTATTGTAGGGACCCAAAGCAACCCTAGCCAGGATGCAACTTTGAGTTTTAGTTTTAGCAAAGTGAAAACAAGATGAAAGATTGCAGTCAGAGGCAATGAGGTGACATAAGAAATGCATGGACAGACTGGTTCACTGGTGCCTGCTGGAATCTAAATACTAAAAAGTCTGAACCCCAAAACCAAATCTCAGAGGAAGAAACAGACATTTTCGCAAATGAAAGACATTGATCCCAGGGGTCTGATGTGGGGAGAAGTGTAATGTAAATGAAAATAGGTCATCAAGAAAAGTAAAAAGGCCAAAAAATTATAATAAACACCAGAATATATTAGTCATATACATATTTTGGCAGTGTAACAAAAATACTGAATATCTCAGTGGTTTACAACAAAACATAATAATTTTCCTTGCTTGGCTAGGCTAAGCGAGGTTGATCTAAGCTGGGTCCACTTGGCTTGTCTCCAGGCCGCAGGTAAGATTTATTTCTGCTCTATATATCTCATTCTGAGGTCCAACCTGCAGATGCAGTAGCCATCTGGAATTTGACCTTCTTATGAAGGAATACAGCAGCACAAGAGGAAACATGAAACCAAAGAAATGTTTAGTCTCTATCCTTGTCCTATACCTTTATATTCCATTGTTCCAAACAAGTCATGGCCAAGCACAAAGTCATGGGAACAGGGGTATATACTCCACCCTAAGGAATATGTGCTGATCAACAATTTAATCTAGTACTACTGGGCAAATGGTGGCTTTTCCTGACCATTCTTTATGAAAATTCTTATAAATAAATGGATGTATAGTATCTGAGTTTCTGTGATTAGTGTAATGGGCCAGGGGCAGAGCGTGGTGGCTCCTCAGATCTGCGGGTCCTGCAGCTCAGCTATGTCACTTTAACAAGAATGAATCACACTATGACTCAGCTCAGCTGAGACTAACGTGCCCACCAAGATGCTAATCTATTATGCGTAATAAGTTGGCTATTTTTGCTAAGTAATCTGGACATTTATTTTGATAGAGCAGAACCTTTTCTTCTTAAACTACATCTATTAGGATGCTGGGTTAATAATTGTTTCTTGCTTGGTGAGTGTGAATTCAGAGTAGAAGTACTCAATGGGTTGGTGCCACTCGATCTTATGCTCTAAATCCCTAAAATAGAAAGGAACCACTATGGAGGCATCCAGGCTTGTTGTGGGTCAGTGTGACCCCTGTCTTAGCATCAAAAGCAGAATGCCAATTTGATTCTGTCATACGGATTCATCTTGGTCACTCTCTGATTGAAATTATCTTTTTCTGGTATACATAAGACAACTCATGTGAAAAAGACTGGGTATTGTGCTTCCAGCATAAGGGTCATTTTAACTCTTTTAAAGTCATCTTTCTATGTAAGAGAGCATCTATATAGATTGTTTGAACTTGTCAAAAATCTCTGAATTATGAAGTTATTCATTTTTATCAAGTACAGTGGTTATATATATGTTATGACCTATATGCCTTATATATTCTAGTAATTAAGTTTTAAATATTCTGTCTCATTGTTATATGGCACACTTCTTCTTTGGGTATAGTAAATATAGTTAATATGTAAAGAAACTTCTTAGGGAGAGTGCCTTTTTTCCAATCAGATGCTTTTATGATGTTTACATAGATATAATGCTATAGCCATTGAAATATTAGTGATACCTGGCTTCATACTGCTGTGTACCTAGTATGTTATAAATAAATTTTTGGCATTTGAGAATGTTGCTTGAATATTTTGAGTGTCTGTGTTCTCATCTGAAGATTGGGAAAACAACATGCTTGCTCTGCTTGCCCTGTAGAAATACTGAAAAGATTACATAATACATGAAACAGCTGCTTGGTCTATGGGAGGGGCTCGACAACTGATTGATGCATCTGATCAAGATTTTGAAGTGTTTCTATAGACTCTAAAACAATATGTAATGTAAAATAAAATTATTAAACTCAGTATGGTATTTATTGTTGTTGTTATTTTACAGGCACCTTATGTTTTCTTCTTTAACGTGTTAAAAGCCTTTTTGTCAGGAGGCCAAATCATGTTGTTTCCTACCCCACCCTTTGTTTTTCAGCCCCATTGTGCTTGTATACAGAAAAATCTTGATTGATTTATATCTATTGTTCCATTCATCAACACATGACAATTCAAGTCAACAAACAATAGGAAAAGAAAATATCAAAAACAGTGGAACAATAAACCCAATTTTAATTTTACTGCAAAATCTCCCAAAGGAAGGCGGCAACAAAAATGCCTCTTTTGTCATTAGTAATATGCATTTTTCTGATTTATTCTTCTAGCATGACTCTCTCTGGTTCATTTTAATCCTGTTGGAGTTCTCTATAATGGTCATTAAATTTCAAAGTACTGCACAATTAAGGATTAGTTAACTATTAAACCATGTAATGCCACTCTGATTTATGCAAGCTTCATTAAAATCTTTTTCAGCTGAGATCTGACTGGAATATGAAACGTATCAAATTTAAGAATTCAAATTAGTTTAATGAGACTTTTCTTTCCTTGAACTTCAACCATGTGCTTGTATAGTGCTAGATGTTTCAGAGACGCAAAGGACTATAAATGGTCGGTAATTATGAAAAAAGAGGGAATTTGTTAGTTGACTAAGAGAAGAAAATTTAAATGTATAGCAAAAACAATCTTGTTTGTTTGTTTTGCATGATCATAGTGGCAAAATGTAGGAAAGTTTGCATCATACTGAAGTGGTCAATTTCCACAATCCTTCTAATTTTGTTTCTAAATTAACCTTTCTCAGGTTCATTTACTTTAATATGTGTTTGCTATTGATGTATAGAAAATTATCACAAATGCAGTAGCGTAAGACAACGTCCATTTATTGAATCTTAGTTCTGTGGGTCAGAAATTGGAGTGGGCTCAACTGTACCCTGCTTAGAGTATTTCAAACCTGAAAAGTTGTTGGCTAGTCAAGCACTTATCTAGAGCTTGTTGGGAAGAACCCACTTTCAAGCTCATTCAAGGTGCTCCAGAATTCAGTTCTTTGTGACTGTCGCATTGAGGTGCTATTTCTTTCCAGGCTGTCAACAGAGTGCTCTCTTCTTCTAAAGATCATTTTCATTCTTTCTTTCTCTCCATCTTCAAACCATCAATGGCATATCTTGACCATCTCATGCTTTAAATCTGAGTTCCCTTCATGCTTTTCTCTTCTTTGGTATCCAGAAAAGATTGTAGGCGTTTAGGGGCTCATCTGATTAGATTAGGCCTGCCTGGATATTCCCTCTATCTTAATGTCAACTGCTGAGAAATCTTAATTACCTCTGCAGTCTCCTCATAGCAGTACCTAGGTTACTTTCTGATTGAGTAACTGGAAAACAGAATCTTGGAAGGGTCGGGAGGGGAGAGGGGAGAATTTTTGGAATTTCACTTACAATGAGCTGTAAAATGGGATTGATAGAAGGACATAACCCAGAGGATTCTTATGAAGATTGTATGATATTATGTAGGTGAAGAACTTATCACTAGCACATCGTAAACTTAATGAAATTCAGCTGTTACTGTTACTGTTGCTATCAATACTATTATCAAATTTAAATTTGAAAGACTGGATAAATCATAAATGGACTATCAATGTACATCACTGTTTTATGTTAGGGTTTATTTAAGTTTAACAGAGACTTATGGATGAAACTTAGACTATACCATTCTATATTTTGAAGAGTACTTAAAATTATTTTGTTTTTAAATAATAGATCACCAACTAAAATCAGCATAATCAAAATAGTACATATTGGTTCATGAAAAAAATAAAAATACCTAGAAGAGACTGATGATGGTAGTCTCAGAAATGCATCCCTGCTCACTCTTCACTTTGGCTTTATTCACTCATATTGGCTTTGATATGGTTTGGCTATGTCCCACCTAAATCTCATCTTGAACTGTAGTTCCCATAATCCCCATGTGTTGTGGGAGGGACTTGGTGGGAGGTAATTGAATCATGGGGGTGACGATTCTATCAGGGGCTTTCCCCCCTTTGCTTGGCTCTTGTTCTTTCCTGCCGCCCTATGAAGAGGTGCCTTCCACCATGGTTGTAAGTTTCCTGAGGCCTCCCCAGCCATGTAGAACTGTGAGTCAATCAAATCTCTTTTCTTTATAAATTACCCAGTCTAGGGTATTTCTTCATAGCAATGTGAGAATGGATTCATACAGGCTGCTTTTCAGTGGCTCACAGTTTATGCTACTTTATTTTTGAAATGTCTCATATTTCAGTTATCCTCCAAAATAAAATAATAACACATTTAAATAAGTGACAAAACATGGTAATAAAATGAACCTCTATGAACACACTACTTTAAGGACTAAAAAGTTAAAAATATCCATCATTTAATTGTTTTTCTTCCTTTTCTCAGCCACTGCTTCCTACACAAAGTCTAATTACATCATGGATTTTGTGTATATATTTCCTTTGCTTAAAAAAATAAGTTTACTAATGTATTACTTAGGAGACAGAAACACTGGTTATTTCAACTCATAATTTGACAGAAATCATTGTTAACTGGGCTTAAATGCTTTATTTAGATCATTGAAAAGATAAAGAAGAGAACACAAAGGTACAGTAGTAGCAGCAGTTTCAGCTACCATCTCTAGGCCTGGGGAAACATAGGGAAGAGTTTGGCTTTATTAAAGCTTAGAAGTCCTATAGAGCTGCAACTCAGAATGTGGTGGCCCTCTGAGGAGGACACTGGTATAGATTAGAGAAGGTTTTTCTGACTCAGAGGAGGGGGTTTGCATGGCTGGAATCCAGTTTCCTAAATAGAGGTACTGGGGTTTCTGCACTTCAATGAGAGCCTCAGCCCATGGGAGGGGGTTCTCTAAGTTCATACAAGGGGGCACTGTAGGAAGGCCCGATCCCTAAGTTTGCAGTAAGGCTGTCTGGTATCAATATCTTTGTGTAAACACAATAAAACAGGTTATTCCAATGCTGGGGGCATAAAAAACTTCAAACTAGTTAAACTTTGGCCACAGCAAAGAAATTTCATGTTTGGAATGAAGAGGGATTGATGGATTAACTTACAAGAAGGGAAAATGGGAAACAAACAGAAAACAAAAAGAAGCCAAACTTTTCTTCCTCTACCAGTCTTCCCATGTGCCTCTAGTGTCTTTTCTTGGAATAGACTAATTTGGAAGTAGCTGAGTTTGCAAATTTCCAGTGTGAGCTTCACAAAGCAAATTTTTACTTGTATGACATGCCTATTCATGACTTTTGCACATTTTTATTATTCTTATTTTTCTAAAAATTATTCGTAGAAAACTTTCATTTTTTGCACACTTTAACCTTTATACTTATCATATACTTTTTCTTCAGTTTGTGCTTTATCTTTTCACTATCTTCAAGGTTTTATGATGAAAAGAAGACATTTTAATTTTGTTAGTATTTAAGTGAAACAGGCTAAAAGTAAAAGGATGGAAAAATATATATCGTTAGTCAAAACAAAGTTGGAGTAGATACACTAGTATCAGAAAGAGACTTCTGAAGTAGCATTTTTATTAGGCTAGAAAAGAAAGAACATTTAGAATTGCAAAATAATGATAATGGGGTAAATAAGAAAAAAATGACAAAATAATTTTAAACATATGTGTACCTAAAAACAGAGTTTCCTTAAACATGATGCAGAAAGCTGATAGAACTGAGAGGAGCAATCAGTGATGAAATTCACAATCACAGGTGGGCATACTGCACACAATTTCCTCAGCAATTAATAGGGTGAAAGATTTGAGAAGATACCACACTGAACACATATCGGTACAGAAAATAAGCACAGTAAAATTTGCGTTAGGAAAATGCAAATTGAGTTGACAATGTGAAACCTCTACATACTTATTAGAATTGCTAAAATAAAATATTAAAAAGAGAAAACCATAACAATATGAAGTATTGCTGATAATGTGGAACAATCAAAATTCGCATATATTGATGATGGGAATGCCTCACTTTAAAAAACTGTTTGGCAATTTCTCATTTTAAATACAGGACCACTGCATGATCCAAGAATCCCATTCCTGGGTATTTACAGATGAGAAATGAAAAATTATATTCACAAAGAAGTTTACAGTCAATTATCCACAATGGTTTTATTCATAAACACAAAAAGCAGAAAACAACCTAAATGTCTTTCAACCAGTAAAGGGACAAACTGCGGAATATTCCTAAAATGGAATATTAAACACCAGCAAAGAAGAAGAGACTTACTAATACATGCAAAAATATAAACAGACCTCATAGGCATTATACTGAATGAAAGAATCTGGAGTCAAAGGGCTAAATGCTGCATGTTTTCATTTATATGACATTCTGGAAAAAGCTAAACTATAGTTTAGTGATTTCTAGGGCTGATTGTAGGGGTGAGTAGTAGGCCACGAAGAAGCATGAAAAAATTGAGGGTATAATGGAACAATTCTTATCTTGTTTGCAGTGGTGATTATATCAATAAGGGTACATTTTACTGTTTGCATACTGTCTTAATTAATATTAATTAATTAATTATTAATTAATAGTTTTGAAAAAATAAATGCTGCCAAACCATTTTCAAAAATAGATACACCAATTTACATTTCTGTGAGCCCTGTAAGAGAATTTTTGCTGTTTCACGTTCTTGGCAACACTTGATATTTTCGGTCTTTTACATTTTAGCCATTTTTAAAAAAAAAATATATTAATATTTGAGATTATCTATGATTTAGGTGCTATATGACACCTCTGTTAGAGAAGATTGTTAGGTTGTGATTACAATTCAGCTTTCAGAAATACTCACATTAAGATATTATTGATGGTCTCAAATGTATTAATCTTCACATGCTTTTCCATTCTTTTATTGATAATTTATAAGGCAAAGTTTCAAAAAATTATATGTTGAGATTATATCTGAGGTATTATATCAGCATAGAAACATTAAAGCGGAAATGTAAAATGATTTGGAATATGTGGATTAAAATTATTTGTGGGGCAAAATTACTAATTTTTGCTTAATTCAATCAATAATTTTAGTTTTCTTATTAGACCTTCTAAATAATTATCCAGGTGCATGCCATGTACTTTTCAATTAAATGAGCAATCAGTCATTGATACTTTCTAGTTACCTGTTAGATGCCTATTACTTTTCTAGAAATTGTGAGAAGAATATGCTTTTTAAAACTTCAAAAGCTCACAATCTAGGAAGAATGACAGGAATTACTCAAAAGAACAGGTACAAGTAATTCTACAGTGTATTTTCTAGTAACCAAAATACAAAATACTACGTTTATTTCAATTCATGTAACAGTGGGGTCAGTTAACATTAGATTTATTTTTTAAGTTTATGTGACACTTACATACTCACCTTAGGTTATTAAGTCTTCCAGAAGTATACCCTGAGCCAAATATTCAGGTGCAATTGATAAAGTGAGAAAATGCTCCTGGGACAGTGAGAGTTGGGTAAGGGAAGCAGGGTAGGGAAGAAGTAGAAAATAATGGTAGGCCGGGCGCCGTGGCTCACGCCTCTAATCCCAGCACTTTGGGAGGCCAAGGCGGGTGGATCATGAGGTCAGGAGTTCAAAATCAGCCTGGCTAAGATGGTGAAACCCCATCACTACTAAAAATATACAAAAAAAATTAGCCAGGTGTGGTGGTGAGTGCCTGTAATCCCAGCTACTCAGGAGGCTGAGGCAGAGAATTGCCTGAACCCGGGAGGCAGAGGATGCAGTGAGCCGAGATCGTGCCACTGCACTCCAGCCTGGGGGGCAACAGAGCAAAACTCCATCTCAAAAAAAAAAAAAAAGAAAAGAAAAGAAAATAATGGTAAACCTTCAGATTAAGTCCCAAACCCATTCTAATCCTGCAGGGACCTCTGGAATATAAATTTCACCACATAGGCGGTCATGACTGGAGACAAGAGAGCTGGAATATTTAAAAAGCACATGGTGCTTGGTTGGCTGATAAAGTACATCCCAAGATTCTTCCATCTTTCCACACAGGCAAGGTGACTTCACTTGCCAGAAGTCAATTGTTTGGAGAAAACGTCATATGTGAGCCTTTAGCAGCAAAGCCCACAGAGGCTGGGGGATGGACACACAACACTGGTAAAAGGATGGAGGGTATCTGTGTGGGCACTACAGTTTCTGGCCACAATTCTCGACTGCTTTCTAGACACAGGCAAAGGAGAAATGCCAGACATTCATTAATAATAAAGATTCTAGTAGAGAGATATGGAACAACTGAAATACAAGGTAAGACTTCCAGTTCCAGCGTCAACATGTAATGTACTTGGAAGTCATGATTCCAGACTTAAAAGCATTGAAAAGTTAAAGAAACTGGAAATTAACTTCTCTTGGGCCTATCAGGAACTGAAGATGCAGGGCATATTGCCACCACAAAATCTGGAGAGAGAATTGAATCCAGAGAGTCACAACTGAGATTTGTTTATCCAGAATGGAAGTCACTGGAGCTAAAACTATTAGGAACACTTAAGTAGTAATTTTGATGAATTGCTGGTATAGGAAATAAAAAAAAGATAAACTCCCTGCCAGGCTAACCAAGAAAAAAAGAGACAATGCAAATTACCAATATCAGACATTTGAAACAAGTTTATCATTATTGATCCCAGGGGAATGAGAGGCTAATGAAGGAAGAGTCCACATATCTGATAACTGAGATGAAATGGGCCAGTTTCTTGAAAGACATAAGCTACCAAAATCCATACAAGGAAAATATATATAAATAACTTTGTATCTATTAAATAAATTCAATTAATAATTAATAATCTTCTAAAAAGGAAGCACCAGGCTCAGAGGATTTCACTGGCAAATTTTGGAACCATTTAAGGAAAAAAAAAAATCAGACTTTTTTTCCAATTTCCTCCAGAAAGTAGAAACAAAGGAAGTATTTCCTAATGCAGTTTATGAAGTCGGTATCACTTTAGTACCAAAAGCAGATAAAGGCATCTCAAGAAAGAAAAACTACAGATGAATAATCTCTCATGAACATAGATACAAATGTTCTCTACTAAATATTAGCAAATGCAATCCAACAGTGTAAAAAAAAAGGACAATGTCCTATGGCCAAATCGGATGGAAGCATAAGGTAATAAATGCTGCAATAGAGAGTTCCTGGAAGTTTTACATGAGTGTTAGCGAGGGTAATCTAACACAGATTGTTTGTAGAGTCAGAGAAAGCTTTTTGGAGAAGTTAACGTGCTCCAAGATATGGAAGAACTCTAGAAGGTCTCCAGCTGAAGATGTGGGAAGGCTGTTTTAGAAATGGGAAGTAAGATATAGTATCTTAGAAATGGAAAGTAAAATAGGCAAACTTGGTAAGAACAGCAAGGTGTGTATGAGGAATATCTCCAAACCTCTGTGTGCTGAGTGGCGGAGATTTGAGACCATGGGGCTGGAGAAGGAGGTAAAACTCAGCTTATGAAAATAGCAGAGGGAGAAGTGATAGAGTGGGTTAAAGCATCAACTTTGTAGGACAAGGCCTGGTTTCAAACCACAGCTTCCCAATTCCTGGCTGTATGACCATGGATAATTATTTGAAGTTTCTATGCCTGAGTTTTCTTGAGGAAATGGGGATGTCTCCTAGTGTTTTGATATATGTTAATGCATGTAAACCAGTATTAGTCTGTTTTCAAACTGCTGTAAAGAAATGCTCAAGATTGGATAATTTATATACATATACATATATGTGTGTGTGTGTATATATATATATGAAGTTTAATTGACTCACAGTTTGCATGGCTGGGGAGGCCTCAGGAAACTTGCAATTTTGGTAGAGGCAGAAGAAGGCACGTCTTACACGGTGGCAGAAGAGACAGAGAGTACGTGAGAGCACAGGAAAATCTACCATGTATGAAACCATCAGATCTCATGAGAATTCACTCACTATCATGAGAACAGCATGAGGGAAACTGCCCTCATGATCTAATCAGTTCCCTTCCTCAACAGGTAGGGATAACAGATCCCTTCCTCAACACGTGTGGATTATAATTCGAGATAAGATATGGGTGGGGACACAGACCCAAGCCATATCAATGCCACTAAAGTCCCTGACTTATAATTGTATCTTATTATTTGTTAGCTATTAATATTATTATTCATCTATAATTTACATATATTGGCAGGCATTTAGAGTGTTTTCTAAAGGCAACTGGGAGTCATTGAAATATTTAAAGCAAAGAGTTTGTGCAAGATTATATTAAAGAAGTAGTTTGGAGAATAGCAAGATGAATTATTGAGATGCATTTAGAGTCTTTAGTAGCTGTCCAGGACAGGAAGGATGAAGTCTGGCATGAACACCATGCCATTGGGAGAGGGATTGTAGCAGGGAGACAGCTATGAGAGATGTTTAGGAGGGAGAACCAACAGGACTTGGCACCTGATTTAGTGTGGAGATTGTGGGAGAAACGCCGCCCCGGGAAGCAGTAAATAATCTGCAAAGAATGAACACCCCTACAAGACAATTCTTTACTGCTGAAAACATCGCTCTGGAGCGACAGCTTTGTAAATCACTGGAGTGAGTTTCTTCAGGAACATGGAGAATCAGAACATGAACACTAACCCTTTGTGAACAGAAATTTCAGAAAAGAAGACACTTGGAATGCGACTTGAAGTTTGGCCAGGGAATGTATAGCAGCAAAGAAGAGGAGCAAAGATTATGTTTCTCATGCTCAAGTGATAAATCTCACTTACATATAAGCATGTAGATCATTAAAAGTCTCCTCTGTCACATGGTCTAATCTGCTAGGATAAAAAAACTAAGGTTACGCACATACACACACAAAGGCACAGAGGCACATGCACGCATCATTATGTTTCCTAAAAAACATTGTAGCATTGAAGATATCCCTAAAATACCTAGCACCACCTGGCAACTTTCTATTTTTTTGAGATATACAGTCAATAATCTCTAAGAAATAATTCGGTTCAATGCTCTCATTTTCATATGAGAAGACTGTAGTTAAGAATTAAGTTGGCCGGGCGTGGTGGCTCACGCCTGTAATCCCTAATCTCAGCACTTTGGGAGGCCGAGGCGGGCAGATCACGAGGTCAGGAGATCGAGATCATCCTGGCTAACATGGTGAAAACCGGTTTCTATTAAAAATACAAAAAATTAGCCGGGCATGGTGGCGGGCACCTGTAGTTCCAGCTACTCGGGAGGCTGAGGCAGGAGAATCACCCCAGGAGGCGGAGCTTTCAGTGAGCTGAAATCGGGCCACTGCACTCCAGCCTGGGCAACAGAGCGAGACTCTGTCTCAAAACAAAAAGAGTTGAGTTACAACTTGCCTGAAGTTACTCACCACACCGAAGTAGAATTGTGACCAAGCTCCAAATATCAATGCTTGCACAATGCTGTTTCTTCTAAACTACTCTGCTGCTTTTTTCTACCTTTCCTTATTTTGATTATTCCTTTTTTTTTTTTTTTTTTTTTTTTTAGACAGAGTCTCGCTCTGTTGCCCAGGCTGGAGTGCAGTGGCGCAATCTCGGCTCACTGCAAGCTCCGCCTCCCGGGTTCACGCCATTCTCCTGCCTCAGCCTCCCGAGTAGCTGGGACTACAGGCGCCCGCTACCACGCCCGGCTAATTTTTTGTGTTTTTTAGTAGGACGGGGTTTCACCGTGTTAGCCAGGATGATCTCTATCTCCCAACCTCGTAATCCACCCGCCTCGGCCTCCCAGAGTGCTGGGATTAGAGGCGTGAGCCACCGCGCCTGGCTGCTTATTCCCTTTCTGTCCTTTCCTGATGTCTCCTCAAATACCCAATGAACATTACAAAACGGGAGACAGGCTCAATGTTGCTGAAGCTATTTCAAGCAGAATGTTGTATTCGAGCAGCTCACAGCCATTCAAGTGAATATGAAGATCATTCAAACTCAAATGACATACACGCCCACGTTTCACACACAGGTAAAGAAAAATATCTCACCATCATATAATTATCTCCCTTCTCAATTTCCTCAGCATCCACATTTGGTTAGCGGGATTCTGATCTCCCCCCTTTACTGAGCTCACCCATCACTTCCTCCAGAAATCCTGGGAGATAGGGCTGGGTGGGGTCGTTCCGTCTGAAAATGAGAGCATTGAACCGAATTATTTCTTAGAGATTATTGACTGTGTATCTCAAAAGAATAGAAAGTTGCTAGGTGGTGCTAGGTATTTTAGGGAGATCTTCAATGCTACAATGTTTTTTAGGCATTGTTCAGCTGCTGTCCACCTTTGCTAACAGCTGCACCGCTGGCCTGGCCACACTGTCACCTGTACGGCACACTCAGCACTGCTGTTCTCCTCCAGCCCCACTCTGTCCTCTGGCGTCTCTCAGACCACCGTCCCCCAGATCAACAACCTTTGGTGTTTTCTTGGCGCAGGGAAATCCTTTTCTCATCAGCACATAATTCAGAGGCGATTTTTCAAAGGAGACTTTTTGAGGCCCCCAGGTAGGGCATTCTTTTTCCTCAGGCAAACGGAGAGAGCTGAGCCTACAGGATACCGGGCTGTAGAGTGGGCCAGCACCACCTGATACTGAATAGTTGAGGAGCCTCTCCCTGGGCTTCAATCACATCTCAGTTTGATCAGCTCACGGGCAGTGAACCTAGTTTTGTTTCAGATTTGTCTAACTTTCCATAATAGGTCAGAATCTCCCAGAACATGCTAATAGGGATGGGTGACCAGTCTCCCACTCAGAATGCATTGAAGAATCTGTGAGGTGATGTTTCTTCATGCTAGAATCATCTAAAGGAACCCCAGTCCCCCAAAAAGCTAAGGACATCTATGAGGTTAAAAAATGAAGGTCCTCCTGGAAAGTGTAAACATCCCTGTCCTACTCCTGGCTCTGGCTCTGCTAGAGATGTGGCAATGAACATCTTCCCGTTTCTGCACCGTAGTGTTTCCAGCTATTGAATAGAACTGCAATCTGATTTTTCATTCTCAAAGAGATTTATAGATGCAATAATGAACACAAATGTGTTACAAATGATTATGAGAAATCCCCTCAAGGACTCTATTATTTGTTTATTACTTACAGGAAAATAATAGGAAGTACTTATTTTTATTTTTCCTAAAGAAAATTTCCTGAGTTGAAGGGATTTGTGTTTGAGGGTTGAGGGGTAGAGGTTTATAGGGAATTGCAGAGAGTGACTAAATAATAAAGTAAGTGCTAAGCAACACTGAATGCACAGAAAATGCCAGTGCATGACAATGAAAAAGAGGAAATGTTTATCATAGGAAGAAGGCAGAAAATTCTCAACAAGGGAAAAATGCCATGGCAAGTGTTCAGATAATCCCCAAACACATACTTCATGTCTGGAAAAGACCTAAATATTGTTTTGTTTGTTTGTTTTTGTTTTGCAGTGATTGCTGTTCTTGTTTAAACTCAGTCAATTTGCAGACACTACAAGAGACATTTGGAGAGATAAAAATGTAAGTGCTGCACTGTAAAACCTGAATGCCAAAAATCACATGAGGAAAATTATTTATTAATATGAATTTCTAATCTCTGGAAACTTTTCATCAAATCCATGGCTCTGTCACCTTATATCCTAAGGGAAAATTACAAAAAATATGCAATAATTTATCATAACCATGATCATTATCATAAACATCCTTTTCCCATTTGAAAATGACTCCACCCCTACCAGGCATTCAGATATATATCATAATCAAGAATATTTAAAAATGAGTACCATTATCCCCATTTCACGTGAAGGGAAGATTGAGGATGAGTTGTTTCAAGAGAATTGACCTAGGTTGTACCATTGTGAGAAGTAAAATTGAAAAAAATACTTTATGCATATATGTTTACCTAAGTTCTCTTATCATTTCTCAACTATGTCTTATAAAAAACACATACCATAAACTATAAAAATGCATGGTTTAGTAGATTATTAAAGTGTGAGCTAAAACAGATATTTTCAACTCAAAATCAGGATGATAGGTTTTATTTACTTTTTTTTCGATTACATATATATATATATTTTTTTCTTTCACATTGAGAAACCTTGTTCTTAATGATAAGATGATGATACATTTAGGAGATCCCATGTTTATTCATTTGTTTTGTTCAAATTTTCACACACAACAATCTCAGAATAACCATGATAATTCCACCAGCATTGATTATGTTTACCAAAAACAGTCTTATTTTTGTCATTTGCTATTTCAATTCTCCTTCATTGTTTACAGATTTATTAATTCTACATTCCATAGATCCATCCATTTTAAGTGTAGTTTGTTGAGTTTTGCTACATGCTTACAGTTGTGCAACCTCTTCCAGAATTGTTTTAAAATATTCCAAATCAGGGTAGAGTTTTCTCATGCCCCTCTACAGTTAACCCCTAGCCCCTGCCCTGACTCCAAGGGACAACTAATCTCCATTTTTCAACATAGCTTTGACTTTTCCAGAATATTACATACCCGGGGTTATACAAAATGTTGTCTTTTGTGTCTGGCTTTTTTTACTTACCATAATTTTTCTTTTTTAGATTCATCCATATTGTTGCTTGTGTCAGTACTTCATTCCTTTATTACTAAGTTGTAGTCCATGTTTTGGATATTTGGGTGTACTACTTTTTTTATGCATTCACTAGTCAATAAAAGCTTAGATTATTTTGTCTATTTGACTGCTAAGAAAAATTCTGTGGCAAATCTTAGCATGTAAGTATTCATGTGGTCATATTTTCATTTGTTGGATGGTAGGATGGGGAAGGTAGAGTTTTAAGAGTGAAATTACTGGGTCACATATAAGTGTGTCTTTATTACATTTTATATGTATAACCTTCCATATAGTTTTTGAACACAAGGTTACTTTTTTGCATTCTCATCAACTCCCCCAAGCCCCAATTTTTAATGGTTGCATTTTATCTGTACAGGTAGATCACGTAGCCATTAAAACATATTCTCTCTCTCTGTCTCTTTCTCTGTCTCTTACCTTCCCTTTTCTTTATTTCTAAAACCTATTACATAAACAATGATTCCAAGGGATCCTTTTTGTCAATCTTTCTCCAACTATTCTGTTTTTCAGAAATTTATTTTATAATAGACTCCTTAAGAAGGACTCATATATCCTCTGTATTTCAAGGTCACTTTAGCTGAATATAAATTTATTGGCTTACATTTTCTTTTCTTGAGTGCCTTTAAATATGCTATTCCATTTTCTTCTGCCATAAAGCATGACTCCCAAGAGTCTGATATAAAACTAATTTTCTCTTATGAATTACATACTTGTGTGTTTGCCTAAATATCCAAAATCATGTTTTTCTCACGTCTTTTAAATTCTAGAAATTTTACTCAAATGTGTGTCTTGGTGTTGGTCATTCATGGTTAACATTCTCATAGACATAATATACTATTTGCGTACGTGGTCTCAAATGCTTTCATCAATATTTGTTATGCCTGGCTTTCATTTCTTGTTCCTTTAGGGATTCCTTCTATCATTGTTGAATCTTCTTTGCATATCTTCAATATTTTTTCTTTTTCTGAAATCATTTTATAAATCTTATTTCTCATTTGTAACAATATTATTCCACTTTTCACTATTATAACTCTTTAAGCATCATTTATTATGTTTGTTTATTGGTGTTCCATCTGGCTTACTCTTCATTTCCAAAATTATATCCTTTTATTTATAATTCCTTCTTGAGTTCTGCACCTAAGTTTTAAAAAAATTCTGATAGACATTTTCCCTTCGTGCCTTGTAAGAATTTCTCGATGTCTTTTAAATAGTTTTGAAATGATGTATTTCACTTTTGATCTTTATGGCATATTGTCATTGCCTGCAGAATGTTATTCTGCTCCTTATTCTCCTTTATCTTAGAGTAACTTTGTATAAAATTTGATCTCTGTATGTTTCTGTTGCTCATTTTGAAACAAATTCAATTCTGAAGTTTTAAAAGAGGATCAGTTTAGATAGTTACTTTAATATCACAAACCATATTCTTTTGTTGTTTTCTTGTAATAATACTAAATGTGCCAGCTGGACTTCTAATTTTCCTGGCCCCATGTTCTTTCTCCACTTGGGTATTTCTTCATTTTAAAATATTTATTGTCCTTAGACTTCTTAGTTTTGATTTCACTCATAGTAGTTTCTTCTCAGCATGGGCCCCATCCTGGAAGCTAGCCCTGGTAGCTCAGTTTTCAAGGTTCATAGGAATAGAGGCTGGACTAGCCCTTTAGACCTCCCTTGGATCGGGCAAATTCCTTCACGGTTTCATCTGCTTTCTCAAATAGACCCACTAGTCTTTCCAGTGAATACTTGTGGGGGATTTTTCGGTTCCCCATTTCTCAGGTTCAACATGTTGTGTTGATTCCTCTGCTAGCGTCCACACAGACACTGATAATGTACAGGTCTTGCGGCTACTGGTGGTTTATCGCCACATGTGTTTTATTTTGGAGTTCATAGAAATACATGATGGCCTGGTTTTGTGGGGAGTGAGAAGTGGTAAATGACATGCATGAGTTTTCAGCTTTCTAATGTAGTTTCTCTGGGTCTTTAGGCAGAGCCAAATCTGTGCTCCTAATGCTGTTTCCATCTTTTCAGAATTCTCCCTTAAGCTGAGATTTTAAATGCAACATCCATGCTCCCTTCACCAATGTTTTCTCAGCAATGTTATTAAACATTAAATGTGTATATTCTTTGGTTTGAGGACAGGAGAAAAAAAATTTTAAAGTCTATGGTATGCATCCAAATCTTATGTTGTTTTCAAATTAGCAAGATAATGCAAAAGAAAAAAAAAGAAGATATTATTTTGAAAGAGATGAATAGAAAATAAGTTTGAAGTCAAATGTTTGGACCTGATTTTGAACATATTAGTTCAAACTACATAAAAATGCTGATATTAGATCATTTTGAACTCTAAAAACAGGAATTTCATGTGGTTCAGCATGATACTTCAGGTGGAATAAATATCAGAACAACAAAAGACAACCAAAAATAAAATGAAGTTCCTTTGAGTTGCATCAGCTGGATGAGATAAATAGATTTCTTTTTTTTTTTTGGCCCAGAATATGAACTATCTTCGTTTATGTCCCAGGGGCCCTTGAAAAGAATGTGTATTCCACTATTGTTGGATGTAGTATTCCATAAATGTCAATTAGATTCTGCTGAGTGATGATGCTGCAGAGGTCTTCCACATCCCTGATAATTGTCTATCTATTTGTTCTATTGGTTGTTTAGAGAGCAGTGTTGATGTCTCCGACTACAATCGTAGATTTGTTTATTCATCCTTAGTTCTAACAGATTTTGCTTCTCATATTTTTCATCTCTATTATTTGATGCATACACATTTAGGATTTTTATGTCTTCCTGGTAGATTGACCCTTTTATCATTACATAACATTCCCCTCTGAGTCTGCAATTTTCTTTTCTCTGAAGTCTACTTTATCTGATATTAAACTTATGCATTCTTTCAGTTATATGTACATTTTTTCTTTCATTTTTTAAAAATACACAACCTACCTATGTCATAGTATTTAAAGTGAGTTTATTGTAGACAGGAAGTGTTGGGTCATTTCTTTTATTCCAGTCTGCCAATATCTGTACCAATCGTTAGTATATGTAGACCATTTGCCCTGGACATCGTTATTGTTATGTTAGGACTCAGAGCTGCCTTTTTTTCCTGTTTGTTGTGATTTTTGTGTGTGTATTTTCTTTTTCTTGCCCTCTTGTGGATTACCTGAATATTTAAAAAAATTCAACCTGGATTTTTCTATAGTGTATTTGTTTATGGTTGTTCCTGCTATTGCAATATATAAACATAACTTATCACTCTTTACTGTGTCATCATTTTAGCAGTTTGAGTGAACTGTAGAAACTTTACTACTTTACATTCCTTTACCTTCCCTTCTTTGTAATGTAACTGTGTTATATTTCCTCTCTCTGTATATTACAACCTCCTCAGCATGTTATGATGTTTGCTTCAATCATCAACTTAGAAAACTCAAAAGGTGAAACGAAGCCTACTGTAGTTACTAATACTTTTGCTTACAATGTTCTTTCTTCCTTCCTGATGTTTATTGGTTATTAGTTCCTTCTTTATTGTTTCCTTTCAGTTTAGATAGTATTCTTTGGACATTTATTTAGGGTAGTTCCTCTGAGACAAATACTTTTGGTTTTCCTGCATCTGGAAATGTCTTGGGTTTCCCTTTATTCCTGAATGTTATTTTACTGTGTGCAGGATTTGGGGTTGACACATCTTTTGTTTCAGCAACTGAGTTGAAACTTCGTATTTTTTTTTCATTTGTTTCACGTGCGCTTCTATTTGCTGAAGCATTTTTATGATGACTCATTTAAAATCTTTGACAGAGGCTGGGTGCAGTGACTCATGCCTGTAATTCCAGCACTTTGGGATTGAGACCAGCCTGGCCAACATGGTGGAACCCCCGTCTCTATTAAAAATACAAAAATTAGCCAGGTGTAGTGGTGGGTGCCTGTAATCCCAGTTACTCAGGAGGCTGAGGCAGGAGAATTGCTTCAACCTAAGAGGTGGAGGTTGCAGTGAGCCGAGGTCATGTCACTGCGCCCCAGCCTCGGTGACAGAACAAGACTCTCTAAATCTATATATTATATATATATAGTGTTGATTATCTTTGTTTCATTCAGTTTGAGATCTTTCTGGTCCTTGGTATAACAAGTGATTTCCAATTGAAAACAGCATTTTCTTATTATGTTCTGAGGCTCTGGATCTTACGTAGTCTGTGACACTCATACTATTTCAGCCAGGCTTTGATGTTACCTTGTTACTGCCAGATGGGCACAAAAGTCCAGGTTCCAATTGGAGCCTTCATTGACTCACGGTGAGGGGGTGCCCTTGGAGCCTTCATTGACTCATGGTGAGGGGGTGTCCCCTCATTATTACAGGGTGGAAGGGGGGATGTCAGCTCCCTGAGTGGGCTCCACTAACACCCGGAGGAAAGGGGCCTCCTTACAGTCTCAGCTCCCTGTGAGTCCTTTTCTGAAACCTTCTTTGCAGAGTTGTTGGATGCGTTCTTAACAGTCTCCAAAAAGTGGAAGGTGAAGTTCTTCACTAGGCCTTTGGTAATCTGGTTTTATGGGAGACCACAGGTTTTTCTGTGGTGTTTGATGGAAGAACAGTCATTGTCTTCACATTTTCTGTTTTACCAAGTTGCTCCTTTCCTGATCTTTGGCTGGACAGATCAGTTTTGTTGTTATTATTGCTATAGTAGTTATTATTTTTGTGTTTGTCTGTTTGTTGCGATTTCCGGGTTACCAAGTTTCTCAGTTTAAATTCTGGTATATTCAAGGCAAAAGCAAAACAAAACAAAACAAACATGGAACTTTCTAAGGTCACAAGATTTTTAGCAGTCTGCCTACCACCACCACTTTCTTCTCTACCACTCTCGTGCACGTATGCACATGCATGTGTGTGTCTGTGTGTGCGTGTGTGTGTGTGTACATGCAAAGGTCATTAGTTGTACTTAGAGGAATAGGAGAACATACATCTATTCCATCTCCATAGGAGCAGAAGTCCCTCACCCTTGCTACTTTTCAGTTCAGGAAGTCTGGAAAAGCTTCAGCAAATATAAGCACATGTGAAACAAATGAAAAAAAAAATTACCAGTTTCTAGATGACCTGAGTTGAAGCCCATGACCAGATGGGTATATTTCCTACAGAATAAAATATTGACTCATTCACTTGATTGAATATTTCTACAATGTATACATAGATCACAATACCACATTGTACCTATAAATATACATGACTATTATTTGTCAATTAAATATATACATAAATTCTAACCCAGAGTTTCTTAATAATGATTGCATATAAGAAGCTTCTGGCAGGTCTTGAAACTGTGTTGTTATCTATGTCACAAGGGCAGATTCCCATAATAGGTGTAGGCTGGGAAGGCAAATAGAATTCCACAATGAGTATTGGAATCCTCAGATTTATCTCTGGAGTCTAATCTGAGGGAAGCCCCCTTTGCACCACCTTCAGGTTGTAGGATAGTTAGTGAATGAAAGGGAGAAAAGCTTGCCTTAACTTGTAGGCTGCAGATCGGCATCCCTATGCACCTCTTACTGACCTGCCACTTTGTGGTTCTAGGCGGATTACATACAAGCCATGTAGATTGCCTGGAATACATGCTGCCTGGGATTCGGCTCCCTAGCCGAGCTTTGAGGGAAACATGAAATCTGTGACAAAAGGCTGTGTCTAAGAATCACTGCTAAATTCATAGATCATTGAAGCTTATCCAATTGCTTCCAGGTAACCCTGGAATCCATGACATATCCTTCATCTTCTCTCCTACATCATCTCTCACTGTCTCCCACGCTGAATGTTCCCATCGGCTGCCCCGAACTGCTGACTTTTCCTTGTCCCTTTGATTGCCTGACTCGCCCTGACATTCCTAAGCCTCAGGAAGCCTCAGTCTGCCTGGAGTGCCTTTCTTCTTGTGCTTAGTCAGTTCACACTTCTTTTTCAAGAACCCACTAAAACGGCCCTTCCTTTGGAAAACGCCTCTGCTGCCTTCAGGGAGGTTATTAAATACGTACACAAATTCTAACCCAGAGAGTTGCTTAATAATGATTGTGTATAAGAAACTTCTGGGAGGCCTTGAAACTGTGCTGTTATCTACGTCGCAAGGGCAGATTCCCATAGTCTAGTGCCACTCAGACTGCCTGAGCTCAAATTCTAGTTTGTCATTTATTAGCTGTGTGAACCTGGATAAGCTACTTTGTTGTACCTCAGTATGCTCATATGCAAAAAGGGTTTAACAATTGTACTTCTCTCAGAAGGTTCAGGAAAATACTATATTATACTAATTATTATACTATATACTATATTATACTAATACACAGTATTAGTAGTAAGTTTTTACTTTTTTGATTTTTGTTTTTCATTTTAGATCATAAAATTCTTAGGTGAGGAGCTGTGTTCCCTCTTCCATCCATTGTAATTTCTCATCTTTCCATCTTCTTCATCTCCTTCTTTCTTTTCCTCTGCTCTCAAACATTTATTGGAAGACTAAGCAGTGCCAACCACTATACAAAGCATTAAACAAACAAAACAAAACAAACACAAGGAGGCATGATTCTTTCACTGAGAAACGAACTTCCAGAGCTAAGTATTAATATAATTCCTGACAGGGCAGTTACTTTAGGGACAAAGAGATGAATGGCAGTGCAGCTGTGGAGGAAGAAGTGGCATTCCTGACTGAGCTCATATAAGGGGCATTATACAGATCAATATTTTGTCTGAGTAGAAATGAGATAGACAAAGGTGGGGAGCATTCAGGAAAGGACAGAGACAGCGCAGGTGCATGAAGGGTGCACAGTGGCCTGTCATTTGTCTTTGCCAAAGCTGCAGAGCAGTGTGGAGGACTGGGGGCTGTGGGTGGAGAGTGTCCGGGCCAGGCCTATTGGGAGTGCCTTTGATGCCATGCCAAAACCTTTGCATTATTTTGTTCTCAAACAGCCAAATAAAGGATTTTAAGTGACATAACCATTTTTTTCTTTTAGCTCTAGTGTTCCTGCTTCCACGTATAGAACTGTGTGAGAGAGGAAGAGAGAGAGAGAGAAAGAGAGGAAGGAAGGGAGAAGAGAGGCATTAGGGAGTAGGGAACTGAGTAACATTTTCAGACCAGGAAAGATGAAGAGGACTAAGTTTTAAGCCTGAGGATATTTGCTGAATACACAAGGGAGGTGTTTAATAGAGTAATGTAGTACTGGACTCAGTAGGTTTATTCCTTGCTTTCTCTCTCTCTCTCTCTCTCTCTCCAGATCAATGCCACAAGTGTCTTCTCGCTCACTTCAAAAGTGATGATGCAATTTCTTGCTGTCACTTAGAGTTCACTGTCTTCATTATAATTGTGTTTTTGTCTCTTTGGCTCCAACCCTTTATGCAAGGGCTTCAAAGAATGGTTTGTTCTGCTTTCTGGTTTTATGTCTTTTTATTACACCATAGTGCAGTCTTAAAAACCCTTAGTCCTTAACATTTCCAAAACAATCTGCAAATATTAGCTAACCAATTCGCATCTTGACCCCGGGAGGCTGGGTCAGTGTGATTATTTCGGCTTTATAGATGAGCGAGCTGGATGGGGAAGGTTGAAGGATTTGCTTGGGTTTGCAAAATAAAGCAGAGAGCAAGTGCATCATTCACAAGAGGATCATTCCTGACTGATCATATTTCTGTTCTTGAGAAGCAGCTGGTGGAAAAGAGGAGGATGGTGTGGGTCAGGGGAAGTCAGAGGAGAATTTTACGGTCTTCGGCAAGACACATCACGAACATGAGCTGGTTTCCTCACTGGATATAATTATCTATTTATGTGTCTCCTGCCTGTTGAGTGATTCCTGAGGAAAGGAATAGACAAAAACTCAATGTTATAATAAGCACAATACCTGACATATAGTATGTGTTTAGTAACAATATATGTGTCTAGAATTTAGAAGGTGATAGAAATACAGACTGCTTTCCCTCCCCAAGTGTTTCTACCTGACTAGAGTATGATGCAGCATATTAGTCACATTTTTATTTATGTTTTATTTGTGGCTGTGGAGTTAGCCTATTTTCAAATTGTGTTTTCATTGCTTACATGCCTTTCAATTTTGAAAACACTGCGTAATCTTAATAAGCCCTATTTTCTTAATCTGTAAAACAAAATAAAACAAAAAGAGCAATAACAGTATCTATTCATAGACTTGTTGTGTCAGTGGGACTGAAATGATCTGTTCTAATTATTTCAGTTCCCACTGACACAGCAACTCTATGAAACCATCAATCCATCCCTGTCTTGAATCTATGCATACACAAAAGTGTTATTTTTTATTGTTATTTTGTATTTATTTATTTATTATTATTATTTTTTTATTTTACTTTTTGAGATGGAGTCTCGCTCTGTCGCCCAGGCTGGAGTGCAGTTGCACGATCTCGGCTCACTGCAAGCTCCGCCTCCGGGGTTCACGCCATTCTCCTGCCTCAGCCTCCCGAGTAGCTGTGACCACAGGAGCCCGCCACCACGCCCGGCTAATTTTTTGTATCTTTTGTAGAGACGGGGTTTCACTGTGTTAGCCAAGATGGTCTCGATCTCCTGACCTCGTGATCCGCCAGCCTCAGCCTCCCAAAGTGCTGGGATTACAGGTATGAGCCACCGCGCCCGGCCCGTTATTTTTTATTTTTCTGCACTGTGCCGAGTAAGAGAGTCATCAAATGTTAAAGGTGACATACATATATACCTATGTGTGTGTGTGATATGAGAGAAGCACTCAATTCTTCCCTGTCCTGAATATATGAACACACAAAAGCATTTTTTTTAATTTTTCTGCACTGTAGTAAGCAAAATCATCATCAATTGTTAAACGTGGCATACATACATATACGTGTGTTTGTGTGTGTGTGCGTGTGTGTGTTTGGGAACTTACTTCCTCCATACAAACATTAGAAATACCTGAGACTAGTTGGACTAAGGTTAACCGTATAACAAATGTCAAAGGTCTAAGCCAACTTGGTTTGATAAATGGAATTATTATATATTATACTAAACACTACTTGAAATCATTTGATAGGGCAAATTCCTTTTGTTGCCATGGAAGATATTAGAATAGGATTCCACCTATACAAGCATTAGGACAGCTGTATGTAGCAGCATTTTGCCTGCACCTAGTATAGAACTTTGAAGCCATAGGTATTTATTAAATGTTTACTATTAGGATAATTTTCTTGGAAGTAGTTTTCACTAATAGCCATTTGAGAATAATATAAGAAGAAAAATGTGTTCACTATTTGGCATGAAATTGGTCAAAAATTTAACATTATAGTTATACTTACTGATATAAAATTAGAATAAAACTTCTTACATTTACAGATAAACGACTGATATACTAATCTGAAGATTACTTTGAGTACATTACAAGTCAGTTTTACCATTTTGTCATTTTATTCCGAAATATATTATTGATTTTGAAATCCACAGTATTAAAATATTATATTAATTTTCAAACTCACCAGATGTTGAATATGTTAATCTTTTTTGAAATTTAGTTTCAGTATTTACTTTTGTGGCACTATTTACTATCAGTATCATAGGGTATTCTCTCCACAGGTTTTAAAAAGTCTAATCATTTGCTTCAAATATATTTTGAACACCTGTAACACCCCTGAGAAAATGGAAATAATCTAGACTGTAGTTGAGCCAGAATTGGAAATCACTCAACGTTGAAGCTTCACTTGCAAAAGAGAAAATAAAGAAGCGCAAAGTATAAAACAATATAGATTCCTAACACCTACATTCTAGGTTTCCACTTTCAAAATTCTGATTCAGACTTCGCCTGCATCAGAGGAAAATAGATGAGAAAGAACACAAAATACAGTTTTAAGGAAAATGGATCAATAACATATTTCCCAGAAGAAGATTACAGATACACTATGCAAATTTCTCTTGAATCTCTTGTTGAAGCAAGAACAGAACAGCAGAAGCCATATGAACATGGAACATTCTCCGAATTACCTCACCCTAAAATAAGAAGGAAGAGGAAAAGGAAGTTGAACACACAGCAAAATAAACACTGAAATCTTTTCTAAAAGTACCCTGTACGTAGGTGTGTTCTTTTGAAATTAGAAGTTTTTTACATCCTTGAGTACCATAAGAACATGTTGTACTGGATTGAAGGAAGTTTATCTTTTAGATTGTGCCTCCATTTTTGGGTGTGGGGTATCAGAAAAATGCTAATAAAGCTCTTATGAGTTGCTTTTATTTGGGGGCATGTTGACTTGAAGCCCTGTTATAGGTCTATTTCCTTGACCATGATGGTACTGTCTAAATATGCAAACTTTCCGTGGGCAATAGACTATAAAATAAAATAAAAAATGATTATTAAAAACATATTATTCTTGTCCCATCTATTTACAGTTTAAAAGCTCTGTCTTTAATCTTTTTTTCTCTCTCTCTGCTTTCATTATTAGCTTGTACATAGCTCCATTGCAGCAGACACATTTGAATTACATTTTCTGCTTGATAAATTTCCAGTTCCCTATCTTTTCTTAAAGGTAACCCTGGAACTTAGAAGAAGGGCTGAGTAATTGAAGAATCTCAAATATTTATTAAATTGGTGGAAAAATACAAATGAAGTTATTCTTTAAACATCTAAAAACATATTATTTGCCTATTATCATTGCAACAACATGCAACCTAACTAGACTGTAAAATGCCTGAAGTCCATACTATTTTCAGAGGAGTTGCCTCCAAAGCCACAGCAAGTGATTTTGATTTAGACTTAGATTTTGCTTTTGAGTGAAAGAGAGGCCATGCTCTTTTTAGGTGAGTTAGATTGACACGGCAAGCTTTTTGTTTTGTACGCTTCTAATTGGCTGTGGTTGAATTCTGTTTGGGAAGTGGTTGATGGGTTTGCATCATAAGCTAGTGTTAGGGTCTACTGATATAAAAATGAATAATATATGGCCTTGGATATTGAGAACTTACAGGTTAGTTATGGCAAATGGCTTTTCACCAGTCATCTCATAATGGAAGTATAAGTGCCTTAAAGGAATATAGATATTAAAGTAATTAATTAAATGGAGCTCATATAGGTAACTGATGGTAATGAAAACCAGGACACAAACAAACAAAACATTAAAAAAATTAAGTTGTGCTTTAGTAACTAGAAAAGGAGCAAGAGATATTTCAAATGGAGAAAATAGCATGATCAAAGGTAAGGGCATATTGGTCTGAAACTCAAAATTATTTATCAAGAAGAGGTTCATTTTTGCACATATCAGAAAATCCAGAGTTTAAACATTACTGATATAGATTAAAATAAATATCTTGTTCTTTCCGAGTCTCCTTTCTGTCATTCCCTGTATGCTGGCTTTTGACCTTGGGCTCTCCCTCTCATAATTACTGGATGCCTCAGTAGTTCTTAGTCTCATATTACAGAAACATCAAAATTCTTGGGTCATAAACATTATAGTATTGAGTTCTCTTTTACAAACAAGGAACCCTGCCTGGAAGCCCCTTATGTCTATTGGCTAGAATTGTGTTATAAGTCAATTTTTCAATCAAACACTGGAATTGAAAATGGAAATTATATTATTGATTCAAAGTAATTAAGACTTGCTAGCAGGGCTGGGTCTATCTTCTCTAAAGAAGCTGGTACCTGAACAAACGGAAGGTTCTTTCAACACGGAAGAAGTAAGTGTAAGGGTGAAGTGGGATTAGGTTTTTGGGAGCATCCAAAAATGAGTAAGTAAAGAGTACAAATGAAATGCAATCATAGGGATATTAAGGAACTCTGAGCAATTTGACGTGGACAGACAATAGGATTATTTGTCCAAGCCAAATATAAGGAGTTTGCATTCTGGGTGAGATAATTTGGGTACCCAAATTATTTTATCTTTTACTGGTAAGAAAAAATATGAAACAAGCAAAATTCAAAGTTTACTTACTTAATTACAATGTTCTTAGATGCTTGAGATCCATAAGCCTATGTATTTTCCTTACACATATTAGGAGACAGGTATTATATCCACTTTTCACATATGAAAAAAATGAGACTTGGGAGAAATCAATATACGCAAAGCTTCATCAGCTAAAAAAGAGTAGAATTGAAATTTAAACTTAGGTTGGTCTAGCTCCAAAGCCTGTGTGGGTTCTAGTTCTGTGGAGGATGAGTTATCTGTGCATACCCCATTAGAATTTTATAAAACCTATAAGGAAGATATTGTCATGGAGTAAGTTATTGTATTTTTCATATGCCTCTTCCTGTCTCTGGTTAAGAGGTGAAACAGAGTTGCAATAGCACTCAAAGGGATTTTCACTGAGGCAAGGAGGTGTGTGCTTTGGTGACAGAATGCTCTCCCTACCTTCTGGGTCTCTTCTTTGCTGCCCACCATGATAGTAAAATTTAAGTTTGTCTCTGTCCTCTATTTTGAGGATGGTAGAGGATAATAGCCTAGAGAGAATTAGGAGGGACACATTCTTCAGTCATGGCTACTCAAGGAGCTTGTAGATCTGGCAATTGGGGCTCCTTCTCTGGGCCCTCATACATTAGAGAACGTTACTCCATTCCTCCTCTGCTGTGCCCCATCCCTTCTTGCCCCATCCCCTGAGGTCAAGGAGTTCATGGGACAATTGGACCTATTGAAGCACCTAACCAGAACTCACTTCTTCTTTTCTAAACCACTGTTTGGAGACTCAGGTCTCTGAAATGTGTAATAGCCTCATGCCCACTTGCAGGTACACATGGATCAGTATGCAAGAGTCTTTTACAGACTAACCTGTATGTGTACGTACTCTTCAGCATGACGGGTAGCAAAAAAGGTATGTGCTTTCAGAAACTGGAGTGCTGTGGAGCTTGGCTTGGATGTGAGGAAGAGCTTGTCCACAGATATGTCCACCAGATCATTTTAAGATGACATGCTGCCAGGGGTCAAAGAGAAGGCAGGGGACTTCTATTTGTATTCTTGCCTCATGCCTTCTGAATACTATTAGTGGGCCTAAGGCTATCTGTAACTTACAAAGAAGAAGGAGTAAACAGAAGCTATACAAAGTTATATGGAATAAGGGCCAGCACATTAGTAATAATAGTAGCTAGCACCTATGTATCACATTCTGTGGGCTGTGCTCATTACATGTATTGGCACATTTAATCTTTATCACAACTCAGCCAATAAGCTGTGATGTGAATTTAACCTCTTGTGTTGTGCAAAACATGGCATGATTTGACAGCCCCAGAAATTTATAATTTAGGGCACCATTGTGTTCTCCATTTTATACATAAGGGCCTTGAAACACAGAGATAAAGCAATTCACCCATAGACACCTGGTCAGATTTGTTCCCAAGCCATCTGCCTCTAAGTCTAAGTCTGTGTTTTAACCATTGCATCATTCTCACAGGTGGAAAGAAATTGAGAAAATTGTGTCAGGGATAGGTGTGTACTTCATTGTCTTCTTGTGCCATATTTTTAGGGCCTTTGACTTTAAGTGGCTAGTTCTAGAACCTGAGAGGCAAAGAAACCCAAAACCGGCCTTTCTTTTGCCTAGCTGTAATCCATTTCCTACCCACGACCAGAGGAGCTCTTGTAAATATATCTGTACCACCTCTTGCTTAAGAACCCACAGTGGTTCCTTATTGCTCATCAATGGATGGAATTCCAACTGTTTAAACTGACTTGCAAAAAGTTTTAATATTTGGTAATCTGCTTAACTTCTAAAACTCCAATCTTTTCCTTGTCAACTTCCATTAGCATATTCTGCTATTTTCACTTCCTGACACTCATCATCTCTCCTTTGGGCATATGCTCACAGGGTTTTTACTGCCCAGATCTGTTCACATTCCCCTACTCTCTTCTTCCACCCCCTTCTCCCAGTTAATCCCACTTATTCTTCATGTTTTTTTTTTTTACCTCTTGTCACTTTTTTAAAGAAACCTACATTGACCAGTCTTCCTTTGTACTGTATGTTCATTAGCACCCTTGCAATGTTCCCTTTTGTAGCCCTCAGCAAACTTGGCTGACATTGCTTGTTTATTGTGTGTGTCATCCATAAAACTATACATAGCTTCACAGGAGGGACTTTGTATTGTTTTTCACTGAGTCCTCCACAGTCTAGTACATAGTATGTAAGCAAGAGTTGAACAAAAAACTGAAAACTGTCATTATTTAAGGCTTAAGTTAACAAAATTTCAACAGCTCCCAAACCATGAACTCTAATTTTTGTAATAATTAGCATTATGTTTGCTTTTTTATTCTATTTCTCTTGGCAGTTTGCAATGGTAGGACTTATAGTGAATGTTCACAGAGGAAAAAAATAGTAGGAAAATAAATGGGGTACTCCTGGACACTTAGGTGATGAAAAATACAAAATTTTTAAAAATCAGGATTAGATTTAACACATTCTGACTAGTTCAGAGATTTTTTTTTGAAACCATATGCTTATTACCATATTTTTCTGCCATTTTCTTTTCTTTTCTATTTCAATTTTAGCAGACACACACAGTTCACTTCCAATTTTAGGTGTGGTACAAGAAATTTAACATATTTTTTCAGAAGCAAGGAAATTAATTTTTTGCATTTTCACTGACTTTTAGCATAAAACTACATACCCATGAGACATCAACAACAACAACAAAAAAGCAAAACCATATAGTCTGAGCTTGAATATGACTAGATGAAAATTAAAACTATATGTTTTAAGAAAAGGCCACAAAATGACCTAAATTCATCCTCAGTTTATAAAAAGTATGGAGCAGTATTACAGGCAATAATGAAGAAGGTAAATAAAAACAGTGCGAACAAACTTAAAAGTGTTTCCAAATATTTACATTTGCTTAGAGATTCTAGAAGAAAGTACTGATTTAAGCATTAGGCAATGAATGAGCACTTTTAATAACAATACAATACTGACACAAAGAGAAACAATCAGAAGACAGCTGCTTCTGTTCTGAAAAGCATGTGGAGTGTACACATTTGGCTTCAAAAGATAAAATGAAATTCTTGCTGGAAAAAAAAAGAAAAGAAAAGAAAACAAGCATCAAGAGGCACAGTGTGTTGGGTAGAAGACAAAGATGAAGATTGATGATTACTTTTATAACGGTGATGCCACAAAATATTGAGACCCTGGGAGCCATCCTCAACCCAAACCTATGAGGTTGGGCTATCCATCTCTCATTTTCCTATAAAATGTGCACATAATATTTTAAAGCTCTAAAAATTACTCCGAGGCATAGAATAAATAAGCTGTACTTCTGTTATCTCTACATTTCCTAAGTGCTGTGTGTTATGAGAAGTAATAAAAGCTTACAGAGACGTGGGCAGAATAGGAAACAGCAATACAACAAGGCATAAATCCCCGAACCCTTATCAGAAGGAGTAAGCCAGTTTGGCCATCTGTAAAATGGGCTTGTGTAGCTGAATGAATTTGTATGGTCCTGTTAAGACCGACCTATTCATTATGTAATAAATAATAATTTCATGAGCCCTCCTGTGGAACACACATTGTTTCAGGCTCTAATACACAATCCAGATGTTAGTGTCAAGGAAAATATAACAATCAATTAATCATAAATAAATACGCACATGATTTAAGAAAAAAGTAGTCTATATACAAAGATAATAGAGTTAGGTATTAAAAAGTAATTGGTTGAATAGGGAGATGGTGGATTTGAAAGAGAAATCTCAGTTGAGTATTATTTGAGCAATATGTGAAGAATCACAAAAATGTGGCTATATTCAATTGTTGGGAAATAGTATTGTAAAAACTGGGGGCATCATGCAAAACAGACTATAAAATAAGAAAGAACCTGGTGTAGGCCAAGTGCGGTGGCTCACGCCTGTAATCCCAGCACTTTGGGAGGCCAAGACGGGAGGACTACCTGAGGTCGGGAGTTCGCCACCAGCCTGACCAACATGGAGAAACCCTGTCTCTACTAAAAATATAAAATTATCCAGGTGTGGTGGCAGGCACCTATAGTCCCAGCTACTTGGGAGGCTGAGGCAGGAGAATCGCTTGAACCTGGGAGGCAGAGGTTGCAGTGAGCCGAGATAGCACCATTGCACTCCAGCCTGGGCAACAAGAGCGAAACTCCTTCTAAAAAAAATAAATAAATAAATTTAGAAAGAAAGAACCTGGTGCACTCAAGAAAGAAAAAAGAGGCCAGTGGTGTGTATTGAATGAGGAAGAAAATGGTAGGAAGTATGTTTAGCAAGATACAAAGGACCATGCTACATAGACCTTTTCAAGCCATGGTAAGCAATGTGGTTTTACGCGTCCTATCTGGAGATGTCACTAGAAGGCTCGCATTGGCAGGTATCAATTTGACTTAGGTTATTAAAATGCCACTTTGGCCACTGTGTGGGAAATGGATGCAAAGCAAACAGGAACAAAAGCAGACAGGACAGTGAGCAGACAATTTTGGTGCTCCAGATGAGAGACCCTGGTGAAAAGCGACACACAGCGAGCAGTGGAGATAAAGTCTTATCATACTTGAGAAGGATTCTTGACATAGAGAGATTAAAATTGTTCATAAATTGCAGGTGGATTCAGGTAATGTTAGAAATCAAGGGTAACTGTAACTTTTGGGGCCTGAGATGGGAAATATTAGGAACAAGCCAGTTTAAGGTAAAGAACAAAAATATTTCTGGTTGGTCCATGTTTGGTTTGAAACCTCCGTCTGACATCTGGACAAAGTGGAAGCTTGAAACATAGCTGCTGTGGAGTCATCAGCATATCCATAGTTTGTAGAGACATGCACCGGATAAGAAACTCAGGAAGAGGGAATAGAGAAGGCTTCAGAGGCCATGAACAGAGGCCTTCCAACCTATAGAAGTCGGGAAAAGAGAAAATAGCCTTCAAGGGAGAACAAGATCTAAATAAACATTCCCTAACTCTAGAACTGTTGGGAGGCGATAATCTCTGATCCAAGTCTCAGATATTAAGAAGTGAATATTCATCTGGCTGCTATTGTGAATGAACAGCAAAGAGTATTGAACACACAAAAGTGAAAGACGCATTTCTTTTTCTTCAATAAGCTCAATAACTGATTGGTGAGAAAAAAAAGTTATTTTAAAACCAGAGTGCTAAGTTCAATATGAGATGCAGATCTGACGTAGGAACTGAGATTACGCAGGAGAAGAGAGATTAGCTATTTGGAGAAAGGAAGACAGAGAGAGCCTCTTGGATAAGGTATACTAACTAGGCAAGAGGTGCTCAGAAAGAAAACCTAGGATACATGTGTCCTAGGTGAGATGCAGTCATGTGCCACGTAACAATGTTTCAATGATGGATGGGCTGCATATAAGACAGTGGTCCCATAAGACTGTAATAAAGCTGAAACTTTCTTATCACCTAGTGACATTGTACCATTCTTAACCATAGCACAACACATTACTCATGTGCTGGGGTTGATGCTGGTGTAAACAAACCTACTGCAATGCCAGTTATATAAAAGTATGTACTATATGGTCAGTATGATGCTACATTATATTACTTGATAATGATAATAACCAACTATGTTACTGATTTACTATCCTATACTTTTTATGTTTAATTTAGATTATACTCCTTCTACTTATTTTTTTTTAATTATCCTCAGGCAGGTCCTGCAGGAGGTATCCAGAAGAAGGCATTGCTACCGTAGGAGATGACAGCTCGTTGTGTGCCATTGCCCATGAAGACCTTCCAAGTGGGACAAGATGTGAAGGTAGAAGACAATGAAATAAATGATCCTGAGCCTGTGTATTAGGATAATGTGAGTTTGTGTCTTCGTTTTTAATAAAAAAGTTTAAGTAAAAAATTAATAAAGACAATTTAAAAATAGAAAAAAGCCTATAGAATAAAGAAAATACCTTTTTCTATGTGTACAATGTGTTTGTGTTTTAAGCTGATATTACAAAATAATCAAAAAGTTTTAAAGTTTAGAAAGTAAAAAAGTTCTGGTAAGCTAAGGTTAATGTATTATTGAATTATTATTATGATGATTATTATTATTAAGAAGGAGTTTTCCTCTTGTTACCCAGGCTGGAGTGAAGTGGCATGATCTTGGTGCATTGCAACCTCCGCCGCCTCCTGGGTTCAAGGGATTCTCCTGTCTCAGCCTCCCAAGTAGATGGGATTACAGGCGCCTGCCACCACGCCCAGCTAATTTTTGTATTTTTAGTGGAGATGGCGTTTCATCATATTGGTCAGGCTGGTCTTGAACACCTGACCTCAGGTTATCTGCCCGCCTTGGCCTCCCAAAGTGCTAGGATTACAGGCATGAGCCACCGCGGCGGGCCTGTTGAATTTTTTAATAGAAATTTAGCATAGCCTAAGTGTATAGTGTTTGCGAAGTCTATAGTAGTGTACCATAACATGCTAGGGTTTCACATTCACTCACCACTCACTCACTGACTCACCAAAGCAACTTCCAGTCCTGTAAGCTCCATTCACGCTAAGTGTCCTAGCAGGTCTACCCTTTTTCTTTTCTACTGTATTTTCACTGTACCTTGTTTATGCTCAGGTATGTTTAGATATACAAATACCTACCATTGTCTGACAATTGCCTACAGTATTCAGTATTGTAACATGCTGCACATGTTTATAGCCAAGAGCACTAGGCTATATAGCCCAGGTGTGCTGTAGGTTAAATTATCTAGATTTGTGTAAGTCACTCTGTAATATTTGCACAATGGCAAAATTGCCTAACAACACATTTTTCAGAAGGTATCCCATTGTTAAGTGATGTATGTGGGTCAGGTTGTCTACGTGGGGATTCACATATTGAAGTATAACCTGAACTAGATGTCCTCTTGCCAACGATGTTATCTCCACCCCCATCAGGTGCTGAGACAAGCATCCTTCCTGTTGTGTATCCCTGTTTGCTTGTGCAAAGATGTGTGCCTGCCTGTGAGTGTGTATGTGTGTTCAATAGATGATTACTTTCCACTTGATTAAAAAGATAAAATATAAACATCTAGGCCATTCAAGCTGAAGCATGTTAGTTAAAATAACTCATCTCTCTGCTTTGTCTCACATTCTCTGTGCACATCTCTCTGGATGGCCCAGTGGGTAAGGGCACAATGGTATTAGCTCCAGGCTTGTGTTATGGTGCCTTAATGCACTGCACATCTGCCTAAGTCCCATGCTAAATCCTTCCAGAACCACAATTCCTTCATCCCTGATAATTAACAGCTAAGTTATTTAATTCCATGCATAATAATTGGCTCTTGGGGCTGGGCACAGTGGCTCACACCTGTAACCCCAGCACTTGGAGAGGCTGAGATGGGAAGATTGCTTGAGCCCAGGAGTTTGACACCAGCCTGGAAAGCACTGGAAGATCTCATCTCTACAAAAAAATTTTTAAAAATTAGCCAGGCGTGATAGCACATGCCTGTGGTCCCAGCTACTAGGAAGACATAGGCAGGAGAATGACTTGAGTCTGACAGGTTGAGGTTGCAGTGAGCTGTGATTGTGCCATTGCACTCCAGCCTGAGGGACAGAGCAAGACCCTATCTCAAAAATCAAAATCAAAATAATTGTTTATCGGAAATTATTGTATAAAATATTGTATGATTGAGATAGCTATTCATGTTATGCAGAATGAATATGAGGCAAGAAGCAAAAATAATATTGCTTTGTTTTCAAAATAAAAAGATGAGGTGATAATATAAGCACACTGGGTTGCCATGGGAATCAAGGAAATTAAGTGAATACAAAGATGCAAAACTAGTATTTGTTAAGTGCACACCATGCAAGAAGCATTCTTCCAGGTAGACAATTCTTTTAGGTAGGAATTTCAGGGGACTGAAATTGAGACTGAGAGAGGTCAAGCAAAGGACTCAAAGTCACACAGCCAGCAGTTGGTGGAGCCAGTCTCCCTGCACCATGTCCGAAGGCTGAGCCTGTGCTTATCTTGCTGTCCAACACTGCCTCCCAGTGGTCTCCCTTACCCTCCACATCAAATCCGTCACACACCTTAGAGATTTTAGCTTCCGATTCTCTCTGGTTCACCCTACTTTTTTATTACTATTGCCCTAATTCAGCCTCTCAGCAGCAGCGGAACTGGCCTTCTCCAAATTTCCTTCTTTATTTCACCTGCCACAAAAATATGTGCCTTTTACAATGTAGAACCTACAGTCCTGCCAGTTTGAATTTTTTTCAGTGACTTCCCACTCTTCATGAAGAATTTCAAAACACATTAGGCTAGTGACTAAGACAACACGCAGATTGTCTTTAGCCTAGCTTTCCAGCATGATATGGTACAAAGATGCTAATCTCAACTAATGCCCCTACACACACATATCATGAATCATTGGTAAGTTTGAATTCATTCTGGGTACCTCACTTAAGTGGTGGAGTCTGAGTATTACTAATAATACATTCTTTTATTTTTTTCGTGCAAGAACTATTTTTGTGCTTTCTTTATTGTAGGATGCTTTAGCTTTTTTTTTTTTTTTTTTCTGACGGAGTCTCGTGCTGTTGTCCAGGCTGGAGTGCAGTGGCGCCATCTTGGCTCACTGCAACCTCCACACCCACCGGGTTCAAGCAATTCTCCTGCCTCAGCCTCCTGAGTAGCAGGGATTACAAGCACGCATCATCACGCCCAGCTAATTTTTTGTATCTTTAGCAGAGATGCGGTTTCACCATGTTGGCCAGGCTGGTCTCAAACTTCTGACCTCGTGATCCACCCGCCTCGGCCTCCCAAAGTGCTGGGATGACAGGCGTGAGCCACTGCGCCTGCGCCTGGCCTTTTTTTTTTTTTTTTTTTTTTGAGACGGAGTTTCACTCTTGTTGCCCCAGGCTGGAGTGCAATGATGCAACCTCGGCTCACTGCAACCTCCACCTCCTGGGTTCAGGCGATTCTCCTGCCTCAGCCCCGCAAGTAGCAGGGATTACAGGCACCCGCCACCATGCCTGGTTAATTTTTTTTGTATATCTAGAAAAGACGAGATTTCATTATGTTGGCCATGCTGGTTTCAAACTCCTGACCTCAGGTGATCCACCCTCCTCGGCCTCCCAAAGTGATGTGATTACAGGCGTGAGCCACCGCACCCGGCCAGGTATTCTCGAATATATTTAAATCTACATGATTTAAAATCTATATTTAAATCTATCTATTTGTGTGTATCTGTAAAGTGTTTATTGAAACTGGATTTAAGAAATAAATATAAATGCCAAATTATAGCAGTGTTTATGGATAAAATGGAAAGTTTTTATGATTTATTGAAATGAAGACAGGAACAATAACATGAATAATAACTCTAGGATAGGCAAATAATCTAGGAGTGGGCACATTGCTCCCATGTTCCTGATGTAGTGTGGTATACTGCCCGGGGGGCCTGAACCTAGAATATATTGTAAAATGGTAACTAGGGGATCTCTTATTACATGCTGTGCCTTCTTCATATCTAAATGGGAAGTTCTCATAACCTAGATATTTTGGAGCCTCATGCACTATAGTATCTGTAAAATCACATATTAGTCTGAAATTCAAACTGACCTGGAATTAAATTCTATCAGGCTCTCTACGATCTCCTGAAAATGAAAGGGATTAATAGCAGAGGTAGGATTTCCTGTTTACCATTTGACAACATGCAATCTTTATTTATGTCTTTGAATAGGTTTTTATTTTTCTCACTGACGAAAATGTTCTGTGGAAGGCTAAATAATGGCCACAATTGTGTTTAAGTTTAAATCTCCAGAAACTGTGAACACATTACCTGGCCTGGTAAGAGGGATTTGCAGATGTGATTAGAAGTTGAGGATCTTGACGGGACACCGTGGCTCACGTCTGTAATCCCAGCACTTTGGGAGGCCGAGGCAGGTGGATCACGAGGTCAGGCGTTCGAGACCAGCCTGACCAACATGGTAAAAGCCCGTCTCTACTAAAAATACAAAATTAGGCAAGCGTGGTGGCGCATGCCTGTAATCCCAGCTACTCAGGAAGGCTGAGTCAGGAGAATCGTTTGAACCTAGGAGGCGGAGGTTGCGGTGAGCCGAGATCACGCCACTGCACCACTGCACTCCAGTCTAGGCAACAAGAGCAAAACTCCATCTCAAAAAATAAATAAATAAATAAAATAAATAAAAGAAAAAAAACAACATATTTTTGTATAATAAGTAGGTTAGAAATCTTGTAGCACTTGGTAGCACTTTTGCATATTTGAGCCAAGAATGATACTGTTTTGATAAATGTTTATTCTCTACAAATATTGGCAATAACAGGAAAATCAGAAAGTGGCTGAAATTTTGCCAGGCATACCACTCATCTTATTCATTGTGTATGAACTGTAGAGAACAATTATTTTGAACTCTTTATCAATCAGATAAATCACATAATAAGGTTGAGCCAGTACAAGTTGTTTGTCTAATTTGTTGAAAGCATTTGTAGCTGGATTTATGGACTCTGCTCTATTTGCTTCTCGAGAAAGCAGAGTGATGGTTTAGGTGGAGCCTTCTGGGAGGCATGAACCGGTGTCAATCCAAATAAATCTCTCCAATGCAAAGCAAATGAATGGAATGAGCCATGTAGCTGACTCAGAGTTCTTTAAGTAATTGGGACATTCTCAAGTTTCCTGGAGCAGTTTTCTAAGGTCATTCCAAGCCTCCAATTTAGGCATCATCTCACTTTATTTTCAAAGTGTCAGTTTGGATGACACCTTCATTAAAACCATTATGAATTTAATAATGATGATAATTCCAGAAACTGACAGCTTAGTGGCATTAGGGAAAGATGGGCTTTTGCTAATTTATACATTTTGGTGTGCTGTCAAGATGGAAGGCTGCCCAATTCACTCTGCCCCAGCTCATTCCTGGCATCTTTTCCTTTAGCATGATCAATGTCATAACCAGCCCCCCTGGTCAACTCAAGTATTAACAGAACCTTAGGCGACTATGATCTTAGTTTCCCCACTGTCCTCACATCTACCAGTTTTTACTTTCTATAATTTCGAATTTAAAGATACCTTTCAATCCCCTTCTCCACTTCCGCTGCCACTAACTTCAGAAGCAGACATCAAGCCCTGTCTAAAGAGGCACAGGCTGCTTGGCTTCTTCATGTTTCTAAAGTCACCTGTCAAAGTCACACTGCTCACAAAAATAAGCAAAAAACAGCGAAACCACATTAAAGACACCTATAAATAATAAAAGCCTGAGTGTACAAAAAGGTTTGGGACTTGTTTCAGAATTGAGATATAACAATGGGACAAAATTAGAAGTGCAGAAACAGGTCAGAGAGAGAGGAAGTCTGTATTTTTTTATTAAATTTAAACACTTTTCTGAAAGAGAGGAGGTAACATTTCAAATCTCAGAAATGGGATGGATTTATTAACAAATAATCCTAAGAAGACTGTTAAATTATTTGGAAAAAAAAACCTCTGGTACTTAATTCAAGTATCTACCAATGCAATTTCAAATTTAAAATGTTACTAATAAAATTTTAAAAGCACTATGAAGAAAATAAATAACTTTAACCAAAGGCTGGAGAATGCCTCTCTAAGAATAATACCATAGGGAAAAAATAAAGAAAAGTATATCTAGATTTGATGAAATGAAACTATAAAATTGTCATACATTATAAGATATAAAATATTTAAAACCAACAGCAAATTAGGAAAAATATATTTCAAACACGTAGGAAAGATATAGAGTTAATATATTTAAATGGCTTTAATAAATCAGAAAAGCAAGTCCCTAATAAAATAAGCTAAGAAGAAACACTCACACATACAGACACACTACACACACACATAAAATTTCATGGAACAAAAATGTATAATAAAAATATTAACAAGTTTTTAATTTAACTAGTAAAAGCAAATATAACTTAATTTAAAAAAAAATTATTGTTTTTATTGCCTATCAAATTGGCGAGATTAAACATAAAATACCTAGTGCTGATTCAGATATACTGTTCCTCCCACTTAAATTGAAAATAATCTACATTGTAGATTTTTGAAGAAAAATCTAAATTTAAAACTCTATTTTGAAGTTTCTTCTAGAAATTGGCTACTACCTAGACCAACTCTGCATTGCTGTCTCAGAATATAAACTTAGCAAGAAAAGCAGCTGAAGGTGTATAAATATATTAACGCAAGTAACCTAGCACAGTGAGCCCTCTACAGTAAGCCTCCTGCTGTACCCAGTGCTGGGATGGCTCTAGAAAAAAAAAAAAATGCCCGACCCATCCAGAATGTAAAACTGGGGCTATGGAGGCCTTCACCTCCTGTCTCCTAGTCTCTCAGTTCAACAGGCTGCCCTTGCTTCTCCATGAGGCTGCCTTCATCATGCCACAATTAACTGTGTAAGCAGAGCATGAGTGTGCTTTGATCACTAGTTGATCCCTAGCACCAACCAGAATGTCTGGCTCTTTAGATGTGTTAAAAAAAAAATGTGTAGTGATTTCAAAAATCGTTTTGGCCATTCTTGAGCATATCTGTAAATAGGTCAATTAGCTGAAAGATCAGGGCTTTTCAGAAGCATATTCACAGAAGTTGAAGTTCTCCTGAATGTGGTAAAGACACAATCATGACCACTATTCGAAGCCAATGCTTGAAACTGCTCAGACACTCTCTGTTGCTCACACCTGTGTGAGGACAAAAAGGGGTATTAAGAAAAACATCCACAGATTGTTCATCTATTTTCAGAGCTAGGGAGCTCAAGTTAGAAAACTCTGTGGCAGCACCACCACTAAACAGTGTAAAAGGGCAGTTCCGGCATCATCTCTGTTGTTTGTAGAATGAGTATGTTCCTGAGTTTCTAGGGTCTACAACTCAAAAGAGATGCAGTTGCAGTTGCTGTTAGAAGGTAACACTGCAGATAAAATAAAATACAATTGCAAAATTGTATCCTGGGAAGGACATTAAGAAGACTTTATTAAAATTTCCCTCCCTATTCTAGTTAATATAAAAGAAAATAACAACCTTAGATTGAATGTGTCTTAACTAAGGTCACAGAGAAAGCTTCTTCCTTCCTTCCCTCCTTCTTCCTTAACTAACCTGCACATTATGCACATGTACCCTAAAACTTAAAGTATAATAATAATTAAAAATAAATAAATAAAAGTTCTTAGAAAAAAAAAGACCTTAAAAAAAAAAAAAAAAAACTCCTTGTAGTAAAGAGAAGGATCATCGAAGTCCCAAGCTCCTCAGAGCTGGTTGGTGCAGGCACTGAAGGAGGCCAAGGGGCTCAGACACCGATACAGACTTTTGATGAGTGAACAGGGACCAAATATTTTCTTCACATCTATGGAAGCTTATTATCTAGATAGGGGTAGAACACTGTCTACATTCTAATTTTGGGTAATTGACAGAGTACACACTTGAATGTTTTAGAGGAATCTCCTAAGTATTTCTACCTCTTATAATGTAAGCTCCAATAGGAAAATTACGGCATAAAGAGGAGAGAGAGAGATCACAGCTCACCTTCAAATTATTTAACCAGGAATCCAACATGTTTAGGAATGTTTGTAATTATCTATGGAGCACAACCACCAGGGGCAAATTTTGATCAGAGACAGAAAATCCACCTGAGAAAGAACTCACCCTGAGTTGGTTATTAAAAATGGAAATTATCTAACTCAAACTTCTGGCAGTTAATCACTGTGGACTCAAATTATGGATCCTTGGGAAAGTGGCTCCCATTAGACATGAAAATACAAACTGCCCTTTCTCTAAAACTTCCAGGCACATAAGAAACGTCAACCTCTAATTGCAGCACAAGGCTCCGAGCCTTCGTAATGATGGTAGAAAATGACAGTGGTTTGGAGAGTTCTGGGACACACCTCTGAAGCACATGTCAGGCACTCTGCAGGAATTCTGAGGTATGTTGGTAGTAACTGAGAATTGGCAGAAGATTCTTCTTTACCAGCACTCAAAAGGAAAGAATACTATGTTAATTGAACTGATACTAGGATGCTGATTGTGACCTGGTTCCAAGTATGTTGTATAAACATGTGTCAACATGTCTTATTCTCCTATCAGTCCTTCCAATTTAACCTCCTGATTCCAAGTTCATGGAGATATCAGAACAAGACTAGTTTCTTTTATTTTCTTTCTTTTTCACATGGGTACTTGGAGTGGTAACTACATAGTCTTTCATCCAAACCATGATAGTTTTCAGAATGAAAAGGTAATCTGTGTAAAATTAAGCTAGAACGGTGTCTATGAACTAGAACAGCTCCATCAAAGGGATATATGTAGTCATTCTGGAATTTGGCGCTAGCAAGTTCTTAGAATTTCAAAGCAGACTCTGGCTGGTAGGCAGATACTTAAGGGGATAGATCATGTTTGTTTGTGTTTTGAACCTAAGACGTATTCTTCAGCACAGTTTTGCAGAGAAGTCTACTCAGGGATATCAAATACTAACATCAAAGTACCTGTCACTAATATTGTTGAATATTTTTATATTGTCTTTTGTCACAGAAGAAGTGGTTGGGAAAGCAGAAATGAAGAATACCTATATTTTCTGGCCTTGGTATAATCTGATAGAATCCCAATCCAAACTATTCTAGTGTCTGTTGTTATGGTTAATTTTATTTATGTGTTAACTGAGCCATGGATGCCCAGATATGTGGTTAAACATTACTTCTGGATGTGTCTGTGAGGGTGTTGCTGAAAGAGATTAACATGTGAATTAGTGCACCGACTCTCCCATCCAATTTGTTGAGAGACTAAATAGAACAAAAAAGTGGAGGAAAGTGAATTAACTTTGTCTGACTGTTTGAACTGGGATATCAATTTTCTCTTGCCCTCAATACTCCTGATTCTCAGGCTTTCATGCCTGGACTGGAATCTACACCATTGGCTCTTGGCCTATTAGGCTGTTGAACCCCTGCTGCTAGCTTTCCTGCCTCTCCTCCTTGCAGAAGGTAGATCTTGAGTCTTTTTAGCCTCCATAATTGCATGAACAGACACCTTATAATAAATCTCTTCCTGGATATCTATGTCTCCATCTTTCTATCTTTTTCTGTATATCTACATATCCTATTGGTTCTGTTTCTCTAGGGCACCCTGACTAAGACAGTAGTAAACTTGTTTTTTGTTTCAGGGTCCAGAGTCACCTGTGCATTCCTATTAAGCAATGGTACAGCTCTTCTGCTTGCATTTTCTCATTTAATGAACAAAACTATCCAACAAAATGTGTTTTCCTTTTTGTTTTCAAATACTTCATATATTTTCTAGATGATATGTCTAATCCACATGTTTTCATTGACAATTGATAGTTATCAATCAGCAAAGAACCCAAGCATGAAAATGGCTATGAAAATCTGGTTCTGTCAGTGCTAGTGGATCCAATGGCGCATGCTCATCAAGGAGAGCGTACAGGGAATAAGCTCTAAGATGGCATGATTTTTCCTGTCTGTCCTAAAAATATTAATCCTAACTTTTCATTATTTTGGTTGAGTGGTTAATGTATTTTAAGGGTGGGAGTTTCAGTGAGAGAGAATTGTATAATGCGTCATGTTGGAAAGTGTTTCTTTGGAAATGCATGTCTCATGCCAAAGGTATTTATCCTTTTTGAGACTTGATACAGTTTGGCCCATGTTGCATGTTGTACACTGGCTTCAGTAGAATAAAGAGAACAGCACTTCAGTAAAATAAACATACCTACTTAGGAATTAGGTGGAATTTGAAAATGAAATGCATGAAAACACCAAGTAAAATGACAGGCTATTATGTTCTTGTTGTATTTTTTAAAATTTTTCAGTTATATTGGGATGGAGAAGAACATGCCACACAGTTGTAATTGTCTGTCTACATGACTCTATTTGCCTTTCTCTCCTTTTTCTTCTAAAAAATACCCGTTAGTATCCCAATGAAATATAAATTTAAGTTCCACCCACGTTGAAAATGGAAGTACTAGCCTTTTTTTAAAGAAAATAATCTCTTGAAAGTTTTCTTCACTGATTAAATATGTGCTTTGGGTCTACAAACCTGGGTCCAATTCCAAGTTGATCTCTTGAATCTGTGTGTCCTCATCAGTTTCCCTTAACCTATCTGGGCTTTGATTTCTTCAGCTGTTAAGTGGTGAGAGTGTTTACCATGGGCACTTCTTGTGAATTTGTTTTTACATGACATATATAAAATACTTATCAACATGTGTGACACCAAGTAGATGATCAGAAATTTGATATAAAAAGCTACTCTAATACTAATACTGACCCTAGTAAAATCAGTGTTTCCTAGTGGAGTGCCCAGGGACATTGCGTATCAATTTATCAAAGTTCTCAGTGAAAATCGAGATTCCTGGGTCTGACACTACACTGCTAAAGCATAGGCTTGCAGGCGAGAAGGCACAAAAATCTTCAGTTTAACAAGATCTGTGTGTCTTCTTTATACCCATAAACATTTTAAGAAGACTTGTTCTAGCTTTCCTTAGTAATCTCGACTTCATCACTTTTTTTTTAACTTCTAGTGATTTTTTAAACATTTATTTATAATTCGATCTTTCAAACCTTTTATTTAGACTTCCATTAAAATAAACATTACATAAAGTTTTATAGCAAAACAGAAAAAAGCAACCATCCCAGCTGGGGAATGCAGCCAAAAATGTTATGTTTTCAGTCATCACAAACATGTTATCAAGGAAAACTACAGCAATGAAGCAATTATACAGAAAAACTAATGGAAAACATACTAATTATCTAAATTGTTCAGGTGAGAGAATTTTTTTCTTTCTGTTTAATTTTCCTTTCTTTAATTAACTGACAAATGGGCAGAAACCCTAACCTTGGTTTATCACATGATGTTAAAATCAAAGTTTTGTCTAACACAAATACCAAAATGAAATACTAGACAAATGCAACTTTGTTTTTCAAGTTAAGTTTTTGAGAACTAGTTAGATGCATAAGTGCTCTTCCCATAGAAAGAGTGTTAAAGTGTTGAGGATTGAATGTGACAGATTTTTTTAAATTGTGTTTTATTTCAATTTTTAAATAGCTTGATCAGGATATGATTGACATACAATAAGCAATGCATATTTAAAGCATACCATTTGATCAAATTTAAAATGTATCCATGCCTGTAAGACCACTTTCATAATTAATATATTTAATATATTCATTAACTCTAAGAATTTCCGTCTGCTCTTTTATAATACATCCCTCGTTCCCTAAGCCCTTCCCTCCCATCCCTAGGCAACTGTTGATATTTCTCTTTCATGATAAATTAATTTGTATTTTCTTTTTCTCTTTTTATTTTGTATTTGGTAAATGGAGAGATGAGTTTTAAAGAATTATTTTTGGGGCAGAGCTCTACTGTAAGTGCTGACCACCCACCACAGAGAGAGAGGTACTACCTTTCTCCCAAGTCAAGTTAAGGAGACAAGGAGTTCACTGCATGCCTCCTGTAGGCTGGGGGCCATGGAATTCTTGTGTTTGAGTCACACTGGAGAGAACCAACAGGTAAGAGGCTGAATAGAGCAGCTGAAGAAAGGGCTGGGTTTAGGAAGAAAGTGTGGTACCAAACTTTTAAAGCTAAAATGTTTCACAAGTATTCTCCCATGGGCCAGACATAGACTGCATGATCTAAAGAAATTCTTTACAGGAGGCTCCCCTAGAAGGAAGAGGTGCCTGAGCAGGGAAGCTGGAGTAGAGTCTTGCATGCCTAGGGACTGTGAGAGAGTGAATAAAGAGGGATGCCAGCCTAAAGAGGGATGCTTTATCATGCCAAGAAAAATAGAGAGAAGGCATCTGAGGAATTCTGCTCCTGGGGTTTCATATGGTTTGGCTCTGTGTCCCCACTCAAATCTTATCTTGAATTGTATTGTACTCCCATAATTCCCATGTGTTGTGGGAGGGACCAGTGGGAGATAATTGAATCATGGGAGTGGATCTTTCCGTGCTGTTCTTGTTATAGTGAATGGGTCTCACAAGATCTGATGGTTCCAAAAACAGGAGTTTCTTTGCACAAGCTCTCTTTTTTGCCTGCTGCCATCCACGTAAGATGTGATTTGCTCCTTCTTGCCTTCCGCCGTGATTGTGAGGCCTCCCCAGCCGTGTGGAACTGCAAGTCCAATAAACCTCTTTCTTTTGTAACTTGTCCAGTCTCAAGTATGTCTTTTTTAGCAGTGTGAAAATGGACTAATACAGGGTTCAGCCTTAAATATCTGCCACATGCAGAGTTTTGCGAAGTTCTACATCAGTACTGAAACGTCAGCCACATGGGAACGTGCATGCCCCCCTTCTTTCCTTTGTTTCCCTTGTTTAACCCAGGAGCAGCCTTTATTAATTTCCTGTTCCTGCTGTAACAAATTAGCAGCACATAGTTAGTTGCTTAAGTGTGATTAACGTATAATAAAAAAAGCATACCATTTGATCAGATTTAAAGTGTATCTATGCCTGTAAGACCACTTCCATAATTAAGGTATTTAATGTATTCATTAATTCTAAAAATTTCCTTCTGCCATTTTATACTACATCTCTCCTTCCTTATGCCCTTCCCTCCCATCCTTAGGCAATTGTTGATCCTTCTGCTGTCCCTGTCCATTAGTTTGCCATATATATATATGCCTATATATGTGTGTGTATATATATAGGTGTGTGTGTATATATATGTATATATGTGTGTGTGTATATATATCATTTTACCATATATGTGTGTGTGTGTATATATATGGTATACATATATATAAAGATATATATATAGTATACATATATATATAAAGATATATATATATAGTATACATATATATAAAGATATATATATGGTATACATATATATAAAGATATATATATGGTATACATATATATAAAGATATATATATGGTATACATATATATAAAGATATATATGGTATACATATATATATAAAGATATATATATATCTTTCCTTTTACACATATATATATGTAAAAGGAAAGATTAGTTTCAAACAATCATTTTGGAGGTAGAGCTCTACTGTGAGTGCTTCTGGAGGTCAGAAGCTTGAAATGGGTCTCACTGGATTAAAATGAGCATTGGCAGGGCTGAATTCCTTTTGGCGATTTTAACAGATGATCTGTTTCTTTGTCTTTTCTAGATAGTAGAAGGCACTCACCCTCCTTGGCTTGGCCACATTTTCCATCATGAAAGCCAACAATGCCAGGCCAAGTCTTTTCTGAATTCTCTTTAGAAGGTAGCTATGCTCACTACTATACCACCAACGCTCAGCTTATCTCTCTGGTTCTTCCTCTTCTCCTTCTATCTTCCACTTATAAGAGCCCATGTGACTACCTTGTTTCCACACAAGTAATTCAGGATAATATCTTTATTTTAAGGTCATAAAATTAACAACTTTAATTCTCCTTCTCTATGTAATTTACATATTCACAGGTTCTGAGCAGTAAGACATGGACATCTTTGGGGGTCGAAGATTCTCCCTATCACAGGATCAAACACTGGACTGAGGTTACCAAAATGAGAAAAAGGAAACCAAAGTTCTGAATTAGAGAAGTACAAAGATGACTACCAAACTCACTCACTATCTCAGCTACAGGCTTCCTTCCACCTAGAGGCAGTGCTGTGGGTGAAGATGGGTATGGTAGATTAAGTCTTGACTGCAAATTAAATTCTGAGTACTGAATATTATATAGTCCTAGATATTAGCAAGAAGTTTTCTTTTCTTTTTCTTTTAATTAGTGATAAGAACAATCATGGAGCTGTCCAAAATTTCATCCAGGGCATTGGAAAAATTAAACTTACGACCAGATGTAAAGAAATAATGGGAGATAAAAATCATAAAGTTATTCTGCAATCATATCTCACCACTTGTGTATGTGATATATAATAGTTATGTGTATATTTCCCATGACCCCATACAGACAAAGTAAAATAAGACCCTAATTGAATTAGTAAAAGACAGGTATCTCTACCACTGTTTGAAAACTGACAACTTGTGGGCAAACAGATGTGTTTTATCTGAAGGCATACAACATTTACTTATTTATATATTTATTTATTTATTGTAACTTTTATTGATATAGCATAATTGTACATATTTTTGGAGTATATGAAATACTTTGATACATGTGCACTATTTGTAATGATCAAGTCAGTGTAATTTACCTTTTCTTTGTGTTGGGAACATTACAATTCTTCTCTTTTAGCTATTTTGAAATATACAAAAAAATATTGTTAGCTATAATTTACCTACTGTATTATCTAACACTAGAATACGTTTGTTATATCAAATTGTATTTTTATACAAATTTACCAAATCCTCTTCATACCTCTTCCTCTTTCCTTTCCCAGCTGCTGGTAGCCATCCTTCTACTCTCTACCTCCATGACATCCACATTTTTATTTTCCACATGTGAGCAAAAACAGGAGATATTTGCCTTTCTGTGCCTGGCTAATTTAACTTAACATAATGACCTCCAGTTTCATTCATGCTGCCTCAAATGAAAAGATTTATTCTTTGTTGTTGAATAATAAAATGTTGTGTATATATACTAGAATTTCTTTGCCCATTCATCCATTATGGACTGTTAGCTTGATTTCATATCTTGCCTATTGTGAATAGCGCAGCAATACACATGGAAGTGCAGATATATCTTTGATATACTAATTTCCTTTCTTTTGGCCATATACCCAGCAGTGGGATTGCTGGATCATGTGGTAACTATTTTTTTTTTAATTTGTTTGAGAAATCTCCTTACTTTTCCCTGTAAAGGCAGTAGTACCTTTCTTTTTTTTTTTTTTTTTTTTTTTGAGACACAGTCTTGCTCTGTTGCCCGGGCTGGAGTGCAGTGGCGTGATCTCGGCTCACTGCAAGCCTCCTAAGTAGCTGGGACTACAAGCGCCCGCCACCACGCCCGGCTAATTTTTTTGTACTTTTAGTAGAAATGGAGTTTCCCTGCATTAGCCAGGATGGTCTCGATATCCTGACCTCGTGATCAGCCCGCCTCGGCCTCCCAAAATGCTGGGATTACAGGCGTGAGCCACCAAGACCGGCCAGTAGTACCTTTCATTCTCACTACAGGTGTAAAAGCAATCCCCGTTCTCCACATACTCTCAATATCTGTTATTTTTTTGTCTTTTTGGTAATAGCTGTTCTAACTGGGGTGAGATGATATCTCATTGTGGTTTTAATTTACATTTCCCTGATTATTGGTGTTGCATTTTTATATACCTATTGGCCATTTGTATGTCTTCTTTTGAGAAGTGTCTATTCAGTCTATTCAGTTCTGTTGCCCATTTTTAATCGGAATATATATAAATATATTCTATTATATATATTCTATTATATTATATATTATATATATTCTATTATATATTCTATTATATATATTCTATTATATATTATATATATTCTATTATATATATAATATATATATACTATTGGGTTGTTTGAGTTCCTTATACATTCTTGCTGTTAACCCCTTGCCAGATGGATAGTTTGCAAATATTTTCTCCCATTCTGTAGCTTGTCCTTTTATTTAGTTAACTGCTTTCTTTAATGTGGAGAAGCTTTTTAGCTTGATGTAATCCCATTTATATACTTTTCCTTTTGTTGCCTGTTTTTTTGAAGTCTTAGCCAGAAAATATTTTCTCAGTCTACTATTTTATAACACTTCCCTAATGCTTTATTCTAGTAGTTTCATAGTTTTAGGTCTTATATGTAAGTCTTTAACCCACTTTAATTTGATTATTGTAAATGGTGAAAGATGAGGATTTCGTTTCATTTTTCTACATATGGACATCCAGTTTTCTCAGCACCACTTATTAAGAGACTTCCCTTTCTACTATGTAGGTTTTTTGGGTCTTCCTCGAAAATTAGTTAGCTGTAATTGTGTGGATTCATTCCTGGGTTCTCTGTTCCGGTCCATTTGCCTATGTGTATATTTTTATGCCAATACCTTGTTATTTCGTTATTACGGCTTTGTAGTATAAAGTCAGGTAATATGATGCCTTCAGCTTTTACTTTTTTCTAGCTTTTTTGGGTTCAGGGTACGTGTGAAGGTTTGTTCCGGAGGTAAGAAACTCCTGTCACAGGGTTTATTGTACAGATCATTTCATCACCCAGGTATTAGGTCCAGTACCCAATAGTTATCTTTTCTGCTCCTCTCCCTCCTCCCACCCTCCACCCTCAAGTAGACCCCAGTGTGTATTTCCCTGCCATGTGTCCACGTGTTCTCATCATTTAGCTCTCAGAAGTGAGAACATGTGGTATTTGATTTTCAGTTCCTGCATTGGTTTGTTAAGCATAGTGGCCTGCAGCTCCATCGATCTTCCCTCAATAGACATGATCTCCTTCTTTTTTTTAACTGCATAGTATTTCATAGTGTATATGTACAACATTTTCTTTATCTAGTCTGTCACTGATGGACATTTAGGTTGATTCTATGTCTTTGCTATTGTGAATAGTGCTGCAATGAACATTCATGTGCATGTGTCTTCATAATAGAATGATTTCTATTCTTCTGGCTATGTACCCAGTAAAGGGATTGCAGGGTTGAACAGTAGTTCTGCTTTTAGCTATGTGAGGAATCATCATACTGCTTTCCATGATAGTTGAACTAATTTACACTGCCACTAACAGTGTATAAATGTCCCATTTTCTCTGCAATCTCATCAGCATCTGTTTTTTTTATTTTTTAATAATAGCCATTCTGACCGGTATGATATGGTATCTCATTGTGGTTTTGATTTGCATGTATCTAATAATCAGTAATATTGAACTTTTGTTCCATATACTCATTGGCCACATGCATGTCTTCTTTTAAAAATGTCTGTTCATGTCCTTTGACCACTTTTTAATAGGATTGTTTGCTTTTCTCTTGTAAATTTGTTTAGTTTCTTATTTATGCTAGATACTAGATCTTTGTCAGATGCATACTTTGCAAATATTTTCTCCCATTCTGTAGATTATCTGTTTACTCTGTTGATAGTTTCTTTTGATGTGAAGAAACTCTTACGTTTAATTAGATCCCACTTGTCAATTTTTAGTTTTGTTGCAATTGCTTTTGGTGTCTTTGTCATTAAATCTTTTCCTGTTCCTGTGTCCAGGATGGTATTGCCTATATTGTCTTCCAGGGTTTTTATAGATTTGGGTTTTACATTTAAGTCTTTAATCAATCTTAAATTGATTTTTGTATATTGTGTAAGGAAGGAGTCCAGCTTCAATTTTCTTCATATGGCTAACCAGTTATCCCAGCACCATTTACTGAATAGGGAGTCTTTTCCTCATTGCTTGCTTTTGTCAACTTTGTCAAAGATCAAAGGATCATAGGTGTGCAGCCTTAATTCTGGGCTCCCTATTCTGTTCCATTGATCTATGTGTCTGTTTTTGTGTCAGTACCATGCTGTTTTGGTTACTGTAACCCTGTAGCATAGTTTGAAGTCAGGTAATGTGACACCTCCAGCTTCATTCTTTTTGCTTAGGATTCCCTTGGCTATTAGGGATTTTTTTTGGTTTCATGTGAATTTTAAAATCATATTTTTCTAGTTCTGTGAAGAATGCCATTGATAGTTTGATAGAAATAGCATTGAATCCGTAAATTACTTTGGGCAGTATGGCCATTTTAATGATATTTATCTTTCCAATTTATGAGCATGGGACATTTTCCCACTTGAGTCTTCTCTGATTTCTTTGAGCAGTGTTTTATCATTCTCATTGTAGAGATCTTTCACCTCCCTCATTAGTTGTATTCCTAGGTATTTTATTCTTTTCGTGGCAATTGTGAATAAAACTGCATTCCTGATTTGGTTTTTAGCTTGGCTGTCATTGCTGTATAGGAATGCTAATGTTTTTGTACATTGATTTTGTATCCTAAAACTTTGCTGAAGTTGTTTATCAGCTAAAGGAGCTTTTGCATCAAGACAGGCTTTCTAGATGTAGAATCATGTCATCTGCAGAGGCAGTTTGATCTCCTCTCTTCCTATTTGGATGCCCTCTATTTCTTTTTCTTTTCTGATTGCTCTGGCTAGCACTTCTAGTACTATGTTGAGTAGGAGTGGCAGCTTTGTGTTTTGTGCTCAGGATTGCTTAAGTTATTTACGGTCTTTCTAGTTCTATATGACATTTCTTATTTTTTTATTTCTGTGAATACTGTCACTGGCATTTTTATAGCAATTGCATTGAAGCCATAGATTTTTTGGGGGAGTATAGATATTTTAACAGTTTTAATTTTTCCAATCAGTGAACATGGGATAGCTTTATTCCAATGTGCTCAGAGAAGATGCTTGATATAATTTCAATTTTTGAATGCTTTAAGACCTGTTTTGTGGCCTAGCATATATTCTATCCTTGAGAATAATTCATGTACTGAAGAAAATAATGTGTATTCTGTAGCTGTTAGATGAAATACTCTGAAATTATCTATTAAATCTATTTGGTCTATAGTTCAGATTAAGTCCAAAGTTTATTTGTTGATTTTCTGTATGGAAGATCTGTCCAATGCTGAAAGTGGGATGTTAAAGTCTCCAACTATTCCTGAAGCCTATCTCTCTCTTTAGCTCTAATAGTATTTTCTTTATGTATATGGGTGCTCCAGTGTTGGGTGTGTGTATATTTAAAATTGTTATATCCTCTTGTTGAATTGACCCCTTTATCATTATATAGTGACCTTCTTTGTCTCTTCTGATAGATTTTGTTTTGAAATCTGTTATCAGTTTTATCTGATATGAGTGTAGCTACTCCTGCTTTTATTGGTTTCAATTGGTATAAAATATCTCTTTCCATCCCATTATTTTCAGTCTGTGTGCGTATTTTTAGGTGAAGTATGTTTCTTGTAGACAACAGATCAATGGTTCTTGCTTTTTCATCCATTCAGCCACTCTATGTCTTTTGATTGGAGAGTTTAGTGCATTTACATTCAATGTTATTATTCATAATTAAGGACTTGGGGAGTATTATTTTTTGATGTACCTATTTATTGCTACAATTTTCCCTCTAAGTACCACTTTTATCCCACAGATTTTGTTATGGTGTGTTTCCATTTGTATTTATTTCAAGACATTTTTCAAATTTGCTTCTTAATTTCTTCATTGATTCATTGGTTGTTTGGAAGCATTTTGTTTAATTTCCATTTATTTGTATATTTTCCAAAGTGTCTCTTGTGACTGATTTCCAGTTTTATTGAGTGTTGTCAGAATAGATGATAATATGATTTCAAATATTTTGTATTTTTTTGTGACTTATTTTGTGGCCTAACATGGTCTGTCCTGAAGAATATTCCAAGTGCCTGATGAGAAAAATGTGTATTCTGTAGCAGTTGAATGCAACATTTTGTACAGGTCTGTTAGGGCCATTTGGTCTAGAATACAGGTTAAGTCCAATATTTCTTTGTTGATTTTCTATCTGAATAATCTGTCCACTGTCAAATATGAGGTATTGAAGTGTTCTATTATTATATTGCAGTCTATCTCTCCCTTTAGATTTATTAATATTTGCTTTATATACTTTGTTGTTTGGGTCTTAGTTGCCTATATATTTAGTATAGTTGTGTCTTATTGCTGAATTGATACCTTTATCATTATATAATAACCTTTGCCTCTTTTCATATTTTTTCAGTTAGTGTGTATTTTATCTAAGTATAGCTACTCCTGCTCTTTTTGTGTTAAATATGCATGGAATATCTTTTTCCATCTTTTCACTTTCAGTCCATATGTGTCTTTATAGTTGAAATGAATTTCTTACAGGCATCATACAGCTAAGCATTATTTTTCAATTCATTAAGCCACTCTGTTGTTTAGTTGGAGGATTTAGTCAATTTACTTTCAGTGTTATTATTGATAGGTGAGATGTTAGTATTTTCACATTGTTACTTATTTACAAGTTGTTGTGTAACTCTTCTCTCCATTTCTTACTCTCTTCTTTTATGCTTAAGTGATTTTCTCTGATAATAGTTTTGATTTGTTGCCTTTTATTTTTAGTGTATCTTTTATAGGGTTCACCTTGCAGTTACCATGAGGCTTACACAAATAGTTTATATTTATAACAAGTATTTAAATTTCATACCAACTTAACTTTCACTACAAAAATGTTAAAATGTAAAACATGAAACAAAACTACACAATAACTTTCTTCTCTCTGCAGATTTAAAACTTTTTTATTACTATTTTTATTTTTGTATTCACTATCTCCTTAATAAAAGGTTATATTATTATAATTTTAGTAGCCTTATCTTTCAGTCTTCTTATTTAAGACACAAGTCATTTAAAGGCCATGATTCTAATATTATTATAACAATCACATTAGCATTCCATTATTATTGTTTGAAGAAATTTCTTTAGCATTTTTTTGTAGGACCAGTCTGACAACAATAAATTCCCCAGGTTTTGTTTGTCTGGGAAAGTCTTTCTCTTTCATTTCTGATGAATAACGTTTTTGGGTACAGTATTCTTGGCTGACATATTTCCCTCCTCAGCACTCAAAATATATTTTCCCACTCCCTCCTGAAAAGTCTGTTGCCAGGTGTTTTGAATCTCCCTTACATGTTATTTGCTTCTTTGTTTCTCATTGTTTTCAGGATCATTTCTTTGTCATTGACTTTTGTGAATTGCATTGTATTATGTCATGCAATATTCTTCTATGGGTTGAATCTGGTGACATTTGAAGTTCCTGTATCTGGATATTTATGTCTTTCTTTAGATTTGGAAAGTTTTCTATTATTATTTATTTGAATAAACTTTCTAGCCCTCTGTCTTTCTCAATTATCTCTTCAACTTCAACAAACCAAATATGTGCAATTTTCATGTTATCCCATAGATCCCATGAACTTTGCTTATTCTTTTTCACTCTTTTTTTCTTTACTCTTCTCTTTGTATTTTCAAATTGTCTGTCTTTGAACTCACTGATTCTTTTTCCTGTTTGATCAATTCTGCTCTTGATACTCTCTATTACACTTTTTATTTAATTGATTGTATTTGTCACTTCCAGGATTTCTGTTTAATTTTGTTATTATTTCAATCTCAGTTAAATTTCTCAGATAAATATCTGAATCAATTCTCTATATTCTATTGATGTTTACTAAGCTTTCTTAAAATAGCTATTTTGAATTATTTGTCTGAGAGGTCATACATCTCCATCAATTTAGAGTTAGCTCCTGGTATCTTATTTTGTTCATTTGATAAAGTCATATTTCCCTGAACTTTTCTGATGCTCATGGGAGTGGGATGATGTCCGCTAATTGACAGATTATTTTAGTTTTCACAGTCTGGCTTTTTTTGTGCCTTTCCTTCTCCAGAGGGCCTTCCAGCAATACTAAGCCTACTAATTGTTGTGTTCCCTGAGCTTGTGATCATCACAGCCATCTTAGCACTAGAGGACACTTTAAGCCCAGGGTTGCTGTGAGTTTCCCAAGGCTTCTGAGGTATGCGACTTTCCAGCCCAAATGGACATGGGAAAGACATGAAGAGTGTATTGGAGCTGTATGTGAATGCTGGACAGGAACCTGAGTTGTGAAAACTGTCCTAGTGGCCAAGCAGTCCTCGGCACAGTGACGAACATTTTAAAATTGGAGATCTCATTAAAGAATGACCAGTATTCTGACTTATCTTCACAATTAGAGATCTGGGCAAAGTGGTATCTAATGTCTGCCGCTTGGCGGATATTTCTGGAGGTAGACTGAAATCCATTTAGATTCACCAACTGCCTGAATTTTGAATGAAGTGTTCTAAGATTTTATAAAATATATGTAGAATTGATGGCATAGCTACTTTTTATCACATAAACATGCACCCTTCCCCAAATAAAGCTCATATCTAGACTATCATGAGAAAAATAATTTTACAAAGCTTTTAAAATCATTCATAATAATTTATATATTTTACAAAAAGAAAATAGAAGAGCTAGGGATAATGTGTTATTTACAGTTACCTAGCAAGTTAATGTATGCAACGATGTGCCTGGAATCTGTATGACCTACTACCCTGTAAACTGTTTTACATGAGAAAAATAAGGCTGGAATACTAACAGTAAAAGAGGTGGTGATCCTAGTGAGACACAGACGTAAATAAAAATAACGGAAAAATGGGGTCTTTAAATGAAAGTATAGTTTATATTTACTATTATACTAAGCCTGGGGTTTAGCTTTAAAGTATTGTACCACAGGGCTGTTTGTTATTATTCATAACATAGTCCCATAACCTTTAGAGTTTATAAATTATGTTTCCATATGTGACCTTACTTGACTCTCCGTAACTCAGTGAGATGCACTTTATTAATCCTCATTTCACAGATGATGGAAAAACAAAGTTGAATAAAGGATTTCTGGAAATAAGTAACTCACTTTAAATATTAGAAAGAATATATCAGAGAAGTGAATCATGCCAAGGAAATGAAGAGACACAAGTGGTGGAATCTGCACTGCAACCCCAGCACACCTTCTAAGTCTGAATCTCAGCCCATGTATTACCTGCTACAATTGTCTCTCTAATGGTATTGAATTCATCAAGGGGTCAGTTTTACAATGGGCAAAAATATAGAAAAAAATATCCACTCATTATTTGTGGTGTACTTACCACTTGCTGACCATTGTGCTTGTCTTATATCATCTTTCTAATCCTCAATTCTGCTTTATAATGTAAGTAGAATGGTTGTCATTTTATATATAAGGCAAAAGAAGACTCCAGAATTATGCACTTTGCCGCAGACTCAGAGCTTGGATACTGATCTATCTGAATTTAAAGCTTATAGTCAGAGTCAGCTGCCAGTTTTGAGTTATGTCTCCCTTAAAGAAAAACATTTGTCAACCACCTACCAGGATGTGGTCAGGGAAATTTTATAAACAGTCTTCATCAGGAGTGATTTCTTGCTTGTCTTTTCAGTCTCTACTACATTGTTATTGTAGAAGATGTTCTGGTGATCCTTGAAGAACCTTCCTCTCTTTTCATGACAAGGACTCAAATTCCCCCAGCTTCCAGGACTATAGTCTGCTGATGACTCATAACTGAGTCTCTCCCGGGAATTGGCCTTCTGCAGAAGGGAGTTCCATCACCCAAGGTTACATCTCCCTGCACAGATGCACAGGTAAGATGGCCCAGGATACATATATCATTTAAGGACATCTCAAGGGCCAATTCCAACCCCAGAACACTGCATGTGACCAGCTGAGCCTTTTGTTGTAGCTATATCACATTTCAATGCTTCTATACAGTTCTGCTTCTCTCACTACTTAGCAGCATTATTCCTGAGAGTCCTTCCTAATGAACTTCTCACACACAAGTCTTCAATTTAGAGCCTATTCCCTGGAGAACATCACCTAAGAGACTTTGAAATGTGAGTGGACCAAAGAAACTGAATCTAAATGGGATTTTGGAGCTGCATTACTTGTTGACTGGCTGGCATAAAGGCCCTTACCATTGGTGGTGGTTGGATTACTAATAGGCTCTTACAGGCTGTAACACTGCAAACACGAAAATTTTCTGGTTGTAACGTGGAATGAGAACCAGTAGAAGGGAATACACTCTTTTCTGCAATATCTCAGGTATTTGAATTCAGTGAAAGAAAGTAATTGTAAGAAAAATGGATTGAATGACTCTCACTAAGTGCTTTGAAAGTGTTGGAACAAGTCAGTAAAAGGCTTGTGGTCATTAATCAATAATTCAAGAAAACATGTGGAAAACAGACAGCTTCCTTGGCACCATATAAAGAGATTCACCTCTCTTGGAGTTAGAATACATAAAAATGTAAGGATCAGGATAAAATGTAATTATAAATGTAATGGAGCCCCGGGAAGGTTGAATTTTCGGTCCCCTGTAAGGCTGCTATGCCAAGGTCAGAGGCCCGATGAGGAAGAAGAAATGTGACTCAGAGACTACATAGAGAGATATGTAAGTAATAGCACTCAAAATCCTTGAATATTAAGAGTCTTCTGAACAATCTGCATGGATGCAGGCTAGTGATGCTCCTTTGCTTGGAGACAATACAGAGACATCTGACCTACATGACAACACATATGCCCCTTCAGGATTTACTTTCATTTCTCCCCCTAATGCCCAACAAATAACTGGAACCACACTCACTCTGACCAAAAGTGCTGGGTCTGAAAAGAGAGAAATGAAGTTCCTGTTAAACATGCTTCAAAATCTAAGCAACATGGACCTGTGACAACTGGGTGAGTGTGCTTTCAGACTGGATCCTTAATATGCAAAATTGAGTAGGAGCAGAACATAAAGTTGAGTGAGTGAGTTTATCAACATGAGAGCACTCTCAGGACAAAGGGAATTTTATACCCTGGCAAAGTTCCTGGAGTTGATGGGATCACATGGCTAGGATATCGTGGAGACTTGGGGAAAGTGATGGTCCACACTAAATAAAGTGCAAACTCCAAATCTGCTACGGCAGATCATAGAAAGAGGGATCAAAAGACATAGTAATGCCAGAGTGGGTATTCTTTATAAGGCCAGAAAGCCCATCAGTCAACTCTCCTCTGAAGAAAGGCCCTGAAGACATTGATTACCAATGCAATGGCAATGTGCTGGTGAGGGGGGCACCAACATCACTGGGAAGCTTATAGATGGCCCTTGTCTTTGTAAGAGATACTGTTAGAGACTTGGCTTCGTGATAACAGTAGAGATAAGAGTCCAAATAATAGAGACCAAGTGGTGGCACATAACCATTAAAAAAACCAGGTAGGCGCAATTATCTCAATAAGTTTCAAGGTTGGTGGGGCAGCCAGAAAGATCTGACCCACTGGCTGAGCACAGTGGCTCACATCTGTACTTCCAGGATTTCAGGAGGCCAAGGGGGGCAGATCACTTGAGGCCAGGTGTTTGAGACAAGCCTGACCATCATGGCAAAATCCTGTCTCTACTAAAAATACAAAAATTAGCCAGGCATGGCGCACGTTCCTGTAATCTCAGCTACTTGGGGGGCTGAGGCAAGAGAATCGCTTGAACCCAGGAGGCAGAGGTTGCAGTGAGCCGAGATTGTACCACCGCACTCCAGCCTAGGTGACAGAGTGAGACTCTGTCTCAAAAAAAGAGCTGACCCACTGAGAGCTATTGAGATAATTAATAGAACAGGGTGATTTCAGGGGCAAGTGAGGTAGGTGGATGTCTGGAAAGGGTATTGCTCAATTTACATTATCAAAGTAAATAAAGCTGGATCAGTACACTGGTAAAAAGTAAGAATCCTTCACCATTTCCAGATATGAGGCAGTTTTCAAACCAGAATTCATAGACTGAAAGGAAAACCAGGTCCTCATGAGGAAGGACCCTGAAATACCATGGAAACATGTGTCAGTTCTTTTTCCAATCATTTACCAAAGAGATTGATGATAACTTATTTGGTTAACTTTACAGTGGAAGTAAATAAAAGCCGGGTAACACAAATAATGTTGGCCAAGTTTTGGCTCACAAGGAATGCACTAAGTCCACAAATGTACCCAGTGATAATTACTCTTGTTTCTACATATATCACTGGCATGGACATGCTCGGTAGTTAGAAGAAACATCATTTCCTTGACCTCTAGATTAAATAGTATTATACTAGAAAATGCCAAGTGAAAGTATCTGACACTCTCTCTCCTTAGTCAAAATAGTAAATAAAAAATAACATTTTATCATAGGAGGAATGGTGGAGATTACTTGCCAAAGCAGGGTTCCCAAACCCTGGACCATGGACCCATGCCAATCTGTGGCCTGTTAGGAACAGACCCGCACAGCAGAAGGTGAGCAGAGGGTGAGTGAGCAAAGATGCATGAGTATTTGCAGCTGCTTCCCATTGTTCACGTTATCACCTGAGCTCCAGCTCCTGTCAGATCAGCGGCGGCATTAGATTCTCATAGAAGTGGGAACTTACTGTGAACTGCATATGCAAGCGATGTAGGTTGTGTACTCCTTATGAGAATCTAGCTAATGCCTGATGATCCGAGGTGGAACAGTTTCATCCCCAAACCATACCTCCTCACCCCCTAACCCTGGTCTGTGGAAAAATTGTGTCCATGAAACGGGTCCCTGGTGCCAAAAAGTTGGGGACCACAAACCTAAAGTATGCAAGGGTTGTAGTCTTCATTATAGTCTCATTTAGTGAAAAACCAGAATGACCTTGCAGGATAGCAGGGACTACTGCGAACACTCACAAGTAGTCGATCCTATTGTAGCTTTTGTGCCAGATATGGCCTCCTGACTGGAGCATATTAGTTAAAATTCAGGTACATGGTATGCAGTCATTGGTTTTGAAAACACATTTTCCTATACCTATCATAAAGGAGAACTACATGCTGTTCACATTCATATAGACAGTATATGTTTATAGTCTTTCCCTGGAGCTATGTTAACTCTTGCATTCTCTGTTATAGTATACTCTAAAGTGACCTGGGACACTCAAATATATTGCAAAACATCACGTGTCTACTATATTAAAGGCATCATGATACTGGGACCAAACTTGCAATAAGTAAAAAATTTTTGAAGACTCTTGCACTTCCAAAGGTAAGAAAGAGATGCTACAAAGATTCTCAGACCTACTGCACCAGTGAAGTTTTTATCACTCCAGTCATGCTCAGTTCTGAGACATCCATTGCAATGTAGATGTCAAATTATTGCACCTCACAACTTTCATCATGAAGAAAGAAACACAATGCCTGATAAACCACATTCGGCTCCCAGGTATCAGGGAATTCTGAGAATGCTACTCAGGCTAATTTTCTGAATGACATGAAAGACAATAAACTTTGAGTGTGGTCAAGTGTAGTCAAAGGTTTTGCAGCAGATCAAGGCTCTGATGCAAGCAGCTTTGCCACTGAATTATATGCCCCTGCATACACTGTGATAGCTACGGATGGAAAAGATGTCATGTGTGACTTCTGGCAAGCCACAATAGGTGGCTATTGGTCAGAACTGTGGTCATCTAAAGATTTTCCTGGGGTTTGAAAATTCACCTCAAATCTGTCTTCCATGGTTTTTAGTGTAAAACACTTTCTCTCAAGCTGTTCAAATAAGGATCTCAGGTATTTTATTATTTTATTTTATTTTATTTTTGCCAGATGGGCCTCTCTGAAGGCTGAGTGTCATGAACACATGGGGGTTCATGTGTTTTATGAGTTCATGTGTTTTGTTATTTCAGAGCAAGTAGTTCAAGAGCAAGGAGCATGGACCCAAGACAGAAGCCAATGCCTTTTTAGAACTCAATATCAAAAATTATGCCCCACCAAGTCAACCATATTCTATTCATTTATTCATCAAACGTCATTAAGAGCAGCCCACATTCAAGAGGAGAGGATTATATCAGGATGTGACATCAAGAGACAGGGATTGTCGAGGGCCATCTTATAGGCTGCTCACCACTGGAGCTGTGTCCTCAGTAGGTAGAATACACAGGAAAAATAAACCAAAAGGTAGAAATAGGAGTGGTCCTACTTATCATCCCCCTTGTGATCCACTTCAGAGGATTTGTGCTTTTCTGTTTCTACAACACTAGGCTCTGTGGAGCGAAAGGTCTGGATTTCTTTAGGAAGATTGCTCCCATCAGGCAATTGTACAAGAATATCTTCAAACCTTAATCCATAGCTATTTTCTGGACATTGTGGGCTTCTTGCTCCCACAGAGCTGTAGGCAAGTGACAGTGTCATCAACATGGCCAAGGTAATTGACTCTGATTATCAGGGCTATTGTTCCACAGTGGTGTGGGAGTGAGAGAATATATTTCTCACTGAGGTGACCCACCGGTGTGCATCTTGAACTGTGGCCCAGTTTTAATGATCGACAAGTACTAAAGCTACAGCCAAAGGAGAACATGATCAATAGTTCAGAGCCTTCAGGAAAAGGGTGTATGTTACCTCTACATGTATGCCATGTAAAATGGCACAGCTGCTATCTGAGGGTAAGGGGTACCTAGAATAAATAGTAAAGAAAGGACAGGATGCGACTATTTGGGCTACAGCTCATCCCACTAGCCTTTCTTTTGAAAGTTTTCACAGGAAAGGAGACTAACATGATCCTGCAGGATATCTGGTGAAGTGGCCTTATTTTATAAAGAAAGTAGAAGTAAGTGGTGCAAGAGATAGACTGTAGTCACTGCTGTGGTGTACTATAAAGAATCCTTGGCTAGGTGTGGTGGCTCACTCCTGTAATCCCAGCACTTTGGGAGGCCAAAGCGGATGGATCACCTGAGGTCAGGAGTTCGAGACCAGCCTGGCCAACATGGTGAAACCCCATCTCTATTAAAAATAAACACACGCACACAAATAGCTAGGCGTGGGTGTCCACACATGTAGTCCCAGCTCCTTGGGAAGCTGAGTCAGGAGAATCGCTTGAACCCGGGAGGTGGAGATTGCAGTGAGCCAAAATTGCACCACTGTGCTGCAGCCTGGGTGACAGAATGAGGCTCCGTCTTTCAAAAAAATGCAAAAAAAAAAAAAAAATCCTCATACACTCTACAGGAGCAAGGCACCCTTTTCTCCAGCCACTGAAAGAGATTTTTGCTTAAGTGTCATAGCAGATTTTCTTCCATACAATTGCTAGTGACCAGAAGTTACTGACACAGATTTACTGCCCCTCCTTGGAGAGTAAGCGTCTTGTATCCAGCAACTTTCCAATGTGGGTTACAGAGGCCTGAGCTACTTGACTCAGTCTGAGTTATTTTGAGGGCCCATCCTAGCTCCTGAGCTTTCCATGGGATCAGCTTAGGCTTTTGTTGCAAGCATACGGAAATTTAACTTCTTTCCATCCAGTCTTAATGAATGTTGTTGCTGAGTAAACTCTTCAGTAAATTTCTCTCATGCAAATTACTCTCTCAGTTTCTATTTTCTGAGGAAACCCAATCTGAGATAGGTTAAAATTTTATGGTTTTTTTAAATGTATTAAAATGAAACATCTTTAGAGCATTGCATTTTCCATGTCTATTCATCCTTCATTCAACAGAGTAACCCACCCAATAGACAACTGGGAAACATTTGTTCAATAAATGCGTGTTTTTGTTGTTCTTAGTTTTTTTTTTTTTAAGAGAGACTTCATGTCATTTATCAACCCCTTGGGTTATAGTCCCTTTGCTAATGTCCTGGAACCTAAGAAAGCAACACTTTTCAAAACAGAAACATATAAAAGCAAAATATTACATATGTACTCAAGGAGTAAATTGAACCACTTAAGCTTATCTTCCGTCCAACTAGAAGCCCTTTGATTCCAGGTTACTTAAAGATGATTCCAAAAGTTGTGACCAATGAAATAATGGTACAAAGATAAGGGGCAGAAGCAGTGGACAAGACACGGAAGGGAATAGAGCAGATATGATGAGATGCTTGCTGCTTCTGAGAGGCTCAGTGCAGCCTCTTTTTGTAGTAGTATTTGCAAATGTGCCTGGCAAAAATATCATTTTAAAACTCAGAGCACTATGGTCAAGACCTAGCTAAAATCTTCACAGGGGAAGACTTCAAATCTACATTTTAATAATATCTGGTGAATGTTATCATCAAGCATGTTGGCAACAACTGTTTTTGAAGAAGTCATGCTTAACGGCTGCCAATGAGATACTAAGAAGGAGGGAAAATACAACATCAGGGCAGTCTTGGGAGGCAAAGCCAGATGGTCTTTATGGAGAAGTCTATGCTCATACATATGAAGAAAAGAAACAAAAGTTACTCCATGAGAAGTCTGGACAGGACACAAGAAGGCATAAGAAAGCCTGTGCTTTGTGAGGCTAGGAGAGTCGGGTCCTCTCTCTGAGTCTCATTTCAGTAGCCTCAAGGATGTTCTTGCAGTCATGGTTTCCTAAATGTTCTTTCATGTCCAAGTTTTTGTGATCCTCTCTTGAATGTCATTTTTTTCTAGGGATTTAAAGGTCAGTATTGAAGAAAGGACCTCGCTATTCACTGATTGTCGTTTCAAATCCTTAAGAGTTGTTTCTCTTTTCTTTAAAATGAATTTAATATACCTATATGACACAGGTTTTATGCTAATAGGTAACACTTAACTACCACTTGTGTGTACTAGGCCCTGCACTAAGGGCTTTACATATTACAACTCACTTAATGCTCACAAGAACTCCTGAGTTAAATACTTTTCTTTTTTTTTTTTTTTTGTCATTTTACAGGTAAGCAAACGATGTCTTAGAACAGCAGTCCATGATCTTTTTGGCATCAGGAACCAGTTTCATGGAAGATAATTTTTCCACTAATGGGTTAGGTGGCATGGTTTTGGAATGATTTAAGCACATTTCGTTTATTATGCACTTTAGTTCTGTTATTATTGCATTACAATAAATAATGAAATAATTATACAACTCGCCATTATGTAGAATTGGTAGAAGCCCTGAGCTTGTTTTCCTGGAACTAGATGGTTCCATTTGGGGGTAATGGGAGACAGTGACAGATCATCGGGCATTAGATTCTCATAAGGAGTGCGCAACCTAGATCCCTCACCACGTGCAGTTCACAATAGGGTTCAGGCTACTATGAGACTCTAATGCTCCCACCAATCTAACAGTAGGTGGAGCTCAGTGATGGGGAGCAGCTGTAAATACCCATAGAGCTTTGCTTGCTTGCCCGCCACTCACTTCCACTGTGCAACACAGTTCCTAACAGGCCACGGAGTGGTACCACAATAAATCATTTATTTCCATGATAAATCATGATAAAAGTTCTTGTCATTGCACATACACTAAGCTAGGCACCTTATATATTTTAACTTGCTTCATGTTCATGCCTACATGTAACTGGAGTATCATTTATAATTTTTTTAGAGATCAACAAGTGATACTAAAAAATGAGACTACATAAGTTCTCACAGTTGAAACTAGAATTTGAAAACATGTCTTAAAAACCCCAAAGCCCATGTGAATTCTGCTATACCAACTTCTATAACATGAGATATGCAGTTTAGATCTGTCCAATTCCTGATACATTGCAGGACTCAGTAATCATTCATTTTTGCCTCTCTCCTGTATCAACCCCCAATAGCAGACTCCGATCTACTGAGAAACTCTTGGCTGATATTTGAGACAATGTGTGGAAATGAGGTATGCAGGATCTCAATTATGTATGGGTTTAGGGGTACATGGCAATTTAGGGCATGTTTTACTTTGGATAATTGTGAAGGTTGATTTTATTTTTTGCATTAATTACAGAATGTCATTTAGTTTTGGACCTATTCAGAAGCAGCATATAGTCAAGGAATAAGACCCAAATCTATCGATACGTTTGGGTAAATACTCTTCATATAGTACACAGGGCAGAATTTTTGTAATTGAAAAGTGATTGTAATAGAGAATAAGTGGATTTTTCTGCTCTTCCAACCCCTTCAATTGACATTTATCAATTGTGCATGTTTCTACATGGCACATTTAGAATCTGTAAATCATCCTTGCCCTCTAAAATATATATTTTTGTTGTTGTTCTCGATTAACAGGCATTTTCTTATCTCTAAATTAATATTGTCTTGTTAAATTTGTCCATAGATTACATTCACCCTTCAGGCCCCACTAGCCTATCAAAAATGTTTCCCTTTATCTGACCCTAGGAAGCATTTTATCTGTGGCAATTTCTTCCTGGGAAATCTACTCATGATATCAAAATATTGTGGCTGTAACTATAGCTCACAAAAAACCAGAAAAATGAATGTGACCTTTTATTGGCACAGCTTTCTCTGTTTGTCCTTTCTTTCTTCCCATATGTAATTACCGTTAGAGCCCTGTGCACATAGATGCTGGGCATGTTGGCAATTAACTTTTGTCAAAAGCTACCCCTAGAAATAATATATAAATGAGCCAAATTTTTAATTCAACAGGATAGTAAATAGTAGTTAGTTTCATACTGCTTATGGCAGAGTGAAGTGGAAATAACATGGAATTTAACATGGAATTGAACAAATGTAATATTAAATTCTAGTGTGATTTAAGGAGAAAAAGTATACCTTTTGAGAAGTAAAATGTCTCATTATACAAAGTCTTCTAAGCTTGTGTTTAGATAACAATTGGTCTAGATTTGCATAGTTGGATAGGTTTAATACTCCAACTATGTTTACTGTTGTTACCTGAGAGCATGATCCAATTTGAAAGGTACATCTTTGTGGAAATACCTCCTTCTTAGGGACCTAGTACCCAATCCTCAGCTTAAAGATTTTCTGTTTTGTGAGTACATCTTTCTGATATATTACATCATAAATATTGATCTGCCAACATTGACTGTGTTGTAAAGCTAATATGATACATTGTTAAATAAAGTTATCAGGTAGAGTAGCATAGTAACTCTACAATAGTCAGACAGGGAGAAATATTGGCAGTGATTAAACATGCAATTGCTTTCATGAAAAAAAAATGGTTTCATGCATGGACTTCTGCCTGAGAGTACCACTTCTTGTAGCCTTACCATTAAAAACAAGCAAAGAGAATAACTTAACATTAACTAATATTGACTTCAAGGGGAGTGCTATTTCTCAAAAACAGAAAGTTCAAAGCCTAGTGTCACACAGCTTAAAAATTAGTGCTGACAGGCCCAGATGTCTATGTCTACATTGCATGTTCTCCTGCAGGAAATATCCGTGGAAATCATCACCAAAACAGTATCATTTCTACATCCACTTGGACTGTGTGCTTTTAATAAACAGTGCATCTGTTTAGAAGGGTAAAGTGATAATAAGATGTATTTTAATGACATACAAATTATACTTTTTCATAGTTTCATTTTAGAACCATAGCCAATACATCATTTAGATTCCTGCTTCATAAAAAGAAAAAAAAGCCACATGTAAAAGTCTCCCTCAATTTCTCTTCTCTTTTCTACTATATCAACACTTATTATTCCCATCTGTCTCTCTCAGAGGGAAGACGTGTCTGATGAGAGTCAGTGTAGCAGAAGTCTATGAACTTGAGGACAAACAGGTCTGATTCTCATCTTGGCATTTCTCTTTATAAGCTGAATTAATTTTGATTTGTTATCCAAGTTGGTGAACCTTATTTTCCTCATCTTTCAACTAAGGATAAATATATGACAGTGTAAAGACACTTAGATATGTGTCTTTGAAAACCACTTGCCATATATATAAAGGACTCAGTCATGGTAGGAGTAGTAATGCTGATGATTACATTAGGAGAGATGGCTGTCCAATTAACAGGTTCATTTAGAAGCAAGTCTCCAAATTGCATAACTAAGCATAACTAAGCATATTTCACTGAACCTATGAAATGTCAGTATGACCATATTATACTGACATTTATTATTCTTATGTCTTAGATATTCTGTCTTAGATGCTTTGGGATTTCAAAGTATCCATTATTCCTTCCCTTCCTGCGACTTTTGCTTGTTTCTTCCTCTTAACTTTCAAACATTCTACACTCTTTACGTTACTTTCAGCTGGTACCTTATCTCAATTCCTGCTAACAACAAAGTCTTTGAAAAAGGTGCCTCTGCTTGCTGCCTTTAAAAACAAAATCAGGTTTACATTTGTTTGCGCCAAGAGATATCGTTGCTTTCCAAATACCAACCACTTGTCTATAACTTCAAAATGTATATATTCATGCTCCCACCTCTACTAATCTCCGGCAAATCCTTTCTAATTAACTATCTAGATTAGCAATTAACAATTAACAAATGGATGTCCCCTAGGCACTTCCAACTCACCATGACCTACAAAATAAGCTATTATCTTTGAGGATGATCCCTAACATATCTGTCATCCAAACAATTACTCCTCAACCCCTCAACCTCTCCTCTTTTCTCAGCCTCAAAATTGTGGTCAAACACATTAAATATATTTCTACTTGCAGAATGTCTATAATGTCTCCCCTTTCCTTTTCATCTGTAGAGGTGTTGCCTCCTTTTCTTTTTTTAAATTGTAGTTTCAAAGGGTACATATACTGGTTTGTTACATGGATGTATTGTGTAATGCCAAAGTTTGGGCTTCTGTTTAAACTCTCACCGAAATCGTGAGCATAATACCCAACGGGTAGTTTTTCAACCCTCGTCCTCCTTCTTCCCTCCCCTCTTTTGGAGTCCCCAGTGTCTATTGTTTCTATCTTTATATCTATGCATACTCATTGTTTAGCTCCCACATATAAGTGAGAACATGCAGTACTGGATTTTCTGTTTCTGCATTAATTCACTTAGGATAATGGCCTCTAGCTGCATCCATGTTGCTACAAAGAACATAATTTCATTCTTTCCATGACTGCATAGTATTCCATGGTGTATATATACCACATTTTCTTTATGAAGCCCCCAGTTGCTGAACACTTAGGTTGATTTCATGCCTTTATTTTCTTGAATAGTGTGCAATAAAAATACCTGCATGCATATGTTTGCCCCCTCTTCCACCTTTGTGTTTTTGTTCAGTCTCCTCTCTGTTGTTATCTTCTTGCTAAAATCACAAATCTTACAATTTGAAAATATCTCTTTCTTCTTAGCAATCCGTACTCTCAAAGCAACATAGCATACTTATTTTTGTCTCTATTTTTTCATTTTTTTCTACAGCACATAGTTCTTTAATATTACAAACATATTTAATTACTATTATATATTTTAAATAGTTTGGGGTCAAAATGTTTGTTCAAAATTTCTCTTGTTCCTGAACAATTGCACAAGTACAATTGTAAACAAAACATCAATTATGATTAAATTGAGCATTTGTAACAAATAGTAAAAAACAACTTTAAATAGTCACTATATGTCCTTTTAAACCAATTTCAATGTGATTTGGCCCATGGATAAAAGCTGCAGAGCTAGGGGGTTATATTAAATGGAATTTCTGATCCATATACTCCTATCTCTTTGTTATTTTGTTTTTGTTTATTCAAATTTATCTCTAGTATGCCACAACAATGTTCATCTAGCCAAAAACACATTAAATATATGCTGCAAATATTTATTTGGGGAGTTAAAGTTCTATGATTTCCCAGTGGGGTACATGGAGAATCCAAAGAGCAAGCAAATTTGGTTGTGAAGAAATATCATAATTTTGGAATTCTCTTAGAGCTGAGGGACAGGCGAGAATATCAGGCTTACAAAGGTCCCAAAACATGTTGCCAAGACGAAGAGCCAGCCCAGCTTGTACATGCAGGGAACAAGGCAGCTACTCCCCAGAATATTCACAGACCTTCCTCTAGACTCTCTCCCTACCCCAGCCCCTACTTACTGCGTGAATTTTATTATTTTTTCCTCGAGTGCATTAGAGTGGTTGCAAAACATCTATTATTGTCTTGCTAAATATCTGCTGTATTCAAGTAAAAACAGGCAAACAAAAATATGTTAGCTTCGGTCTTAAATGGAAAGAGGCAGTTGTTAGGCTGCACAGAGCGATTTGTTGTTAGGATACTATCCAGCCTTTCATAATATAGCTTTTCTTTCTTGCATTCATTCATTCAAAATAATGTAATTAGCACCTTCTACGTTCCACCAACCGCACAGTCCAAAGTGTCAATTTACAGAAAAACAGACTCTAGGCATAGGTTATATAAAGTGTACAATATGATAAAAGAGAAAGAAACAGCATTGCAGGCCTTTCTACTTGGGATTATATATTTGTCTACTTATTTGAATAAAGTCTGCCTCCCCCACTGGACATTAAGTCCATGAAAAAGGGGTTTTGTCTCTATTTTATTCATCTTCTTGCCTGTTAAACAGCACAGTGTCTGAAATATAGATGTTTAAAATATTTGGTACATAAATCATTAATAACTAATTTAGCCAATAATTTTTTTAGCTATTAATTAAAAAAAATCCTCTAAGTGAAATTACCTAATGTAGTTATTGCTTTAACAGATAGTTACCCAATACTTTACTTATTTGAAAATTGGTAACCAGACACTCCTGACTCAGATAATAATATTATTTTCAGGTTCCAGTAAGCACTGATCCTCTTCAGTCAGTCAATTAGCTTATCTAATTCTGCCATACGATCCTGGATTTATCCTTAGAATAAATATGCCACCACACTGTCTTGTAACTAGAAATAGTATAAAAGGTGTCTGTACAGGATATGCACCTTGGATCTTTCCTAGGATGACATGACCCCATGAGAAGGTATCACCTAACAGCTTCATTGGCAGATATAGGTCAAGTTTATAGCCCTTAGGAGAGCTGGGAGACTGTGCCACATGGGTAAGCAGAGATATGGCCAGTCATCCTCTCAGACCCAGGTAAATGTCCTCTACCACATTTGTTGCTAGGAGACAAATAATAAAAAGTGCTCTCATCCACATCTGGTAGCAATTTTTAAATGGAAATAACAATAAGAAGAATAATGATAATAATGATAATACCTAAATCAGATAGATGTGTAAGAGATTGTAAAATCATAATTTCTACAATTTCCAAGCCATTTAGTTCCCTGGCTGGATGGAACAAAACTGCAAAAGCATATTCAAATATTGTTAAACATAACACCTATTTATATTATTAATATCATATTGTATAAAATAAAATAGCAACTAAAAATTTATGCAGAGAAAATTCTTTCAAAAATCACATTTGATTATGACCAGAATGTTATCTCACCCAACCATTTCTCCATGACTGAATCTATTCTGATCTCCCAAGAGACTATTTATTCTTTGCGGGAATCTCAACAGGAAGGCATACTATTCATTTCAACTGACAGTTCTCCAAATACTGTAAAAACAGAAACAAAAAAACCCAAAACCGAAACCAAACCAAACCAAAATAAACCTATAGGGTGGCTTCAGAACTCATATTCTTACCTCATACTCTGATTGCTTATCTGTTAATAAGAAAAGCAATCTATTGGAAGTTCAGAAGAAAAGAATGTCAAGCTTCTGAGAGTATTTATTATTAATGAACCCCCTGGATAAATTCACCAAATGCACTGTGGCAGATTTTAAATGGTAGAGAGAAATATAAGTAAGTGGGCAACAAAGTGAAAATAAAGGTGAGATATTTAAAAGCAGTGGCAAATCCAGAGGTATGAGAGATAGTCAAAGGAAAGATGCTGTGGGTCGACACCATGGGAAACTGCAAGGGCATAAACTTGAGAAGCTTCTTGTTGTTAAAAAAGTCTTCCCAATGGGCATACAAAGAATCCCCACAACATGTGCACACACAAATACACATGCACACTCTTCCAAATCAAATCAAAGAGCACGTACTATTCCTATCTCTTTCACTGTGTCAGAAACAGTTGTCCACCTCTAGAGGTACTGCCACTACAGCATTCAAAAGATGAATCTTGACATCTTCATACTGGATGAATTGGAAGCTCATGTATATTAAAATATCATGAAACTGTGCACCCCCACGGTTTTATGTAAAGCATTCTATTTTCTGGGTATCCACCGGTTGGGTACCATTGCTGAAATTTTCCTCTGTGTGATTTTAGCTACCTGGTCATAGCTACACATGGCTTTCACAAGACTCACTCTGCAGTTATAATATTTTGTCATGTTTTATTACTGAAGGGATAGAAGAAGATTGTAGAACTGCAATATACAGCCCTTGGGTTCAGTGAGGATGAGCATGTTACACTTTGCAGCTTATGAACCTTAAGGACCTTCTGGTAAAGTGTGGGTACAAGCTTCATGTTGGTTCTCTAGCCCAACGCTTGCATACCATGATTGCATCCCACCATGGCAGGACAATTGAACTTGGCATGTAAACCCTAATGTTGATTCTGGTTCTATGATGTATGTGTTTCAGTCACTGAAATGAAATCTCAGTTTCATCTTTTGATCAAAGAGGGAGAACAAAATTCTTACCTCAAAAGAATGTTATAAGAGTTGAATTATTTACTAGTTGTAAAACATCTTTTAATTGTTTGATAGGTAAGATATTATTATTCATACTATAGTTCTTTCTAGATTCTTGTCATGATGATAAGCTTTGCTAGCCCACATATTTTAGGTAAGAACTAGAAAAATTGAGTCACTTAGCCATTGTCATTAATCATGTCTTCAGACACTCAACATAGATCTTAGAATTAGGTTTTCCATCTAAAGAGGAAAAAATAGTAACTATTATTCTCATAATTTTATTTTATTAAAACAATTGGGTATTTATGTATTTAACAAATGTTGATCAAGTACCTGTTCTATACAATTACCTGTATTAGATTTTACATAAATGTGTATGTGCACATGCATACACATATGTATAAATATGCGTGTACATAAGACATAAATATTTGATTTATGTATATTTAATATATGCATATTTATGGGTATATGTAAACCCAAAAAGGAGTGTGTGTGTGTTTGTGTGTATTATTTGATATAGGGACCTCAAGACAGCAAATGTTCAATAACAATTGTTATTTTCTCCCCATGGTTTGAGAAGATTTAATGCTTCTGGAGCTTAAAGCCACGTTAGTTTTTGTGAGATAGGGTTACAATAAAGTATCCTATAAATACAGAGATGTCAAAAAAAAGTGACTGGTCACAAATTTACCTCCTTGTGGAGATGGGGGATAGTATGAAGACGTATTCTGTACACCAAAAATAACACATCTAAATACACAGAGGCAAAAAACATGTAACACTTTTTTTTTTTTAGTTTACACTGAGATATTTAGCAAAGTTGAGCATGTTTGCTTCGGTTAAATGTTGAAAAAGGAGCAAAACTCTTAGTTCTATATCAGCAAATGCAATATTACAGTGGCTTAACTCCTGTATAAACATTAGGAGCTCAGAAGCCCTGGGCTGCTGTGACAGCTTTGCAGTCATCACAGATGGGGGTTCTTTGTACTTTTCTTTTTTAAGCATCAATTTGTATTTCAAAATTACTGCTGGAAATCCAGTCATCTCCATATTACAGGAAGGGGGAAAAGAGCAGAAGGGCATGAGCTGACTCCTTTTTGAATAAGCTGCTTTTGAGGGGGCTTCCAGGTTGCCCCTGGAATTATAGTCAGCCTATATTTAATAGAACACACCTTACTGAAAGGCAGGAGTACGTCTATTTTAACTGGGTGTATTGTTACCCGGATAAAACTATGAATCTGTCATTAAGGACAATAAAAGTTGTTTAGGCAGTTAAAAGTTTTGAAAAAAAAAAAAACCTTCAGGGATGACGTTGTTTCTAATGGTCACCTACTATAGATGTTTTATGGTCAAAGTTAGAATCGTTGACCTATGACGTTTCATCTAGTCTCCACACTGAAAATAAGAAATATCTTCATCATTAGAAAGATTAGAAATCTAAATTTTGGAGGTGTTTAAATATTTGTCCAAGATCACATCAGGAGCAAATGACAGCATCAATTTTTAACCTAGATCTTCCTGAAGCCAAACCCTCATCCTACCACATAACACAGTCTTGGTAAATTAATGCAGGAAAGACCCTCTGTTCCCATGAAAGGGGCAATAGCTTTCAAAATTGTTGCATAAGTAATAATTTAGATACTCTGTTTTGTCTGATAAGTTATTGAATAATTTCATAAGAGGATAATAATGTATGTCTCCATTAAATAAACTTTGGGGTAATTATAATTTTACTTATAAGCTACTTAACTCATGTTCACTGGAGCATACTTTTCCTAAATTGCCACTGCATATTTTTATGATATTAATTCTGAATATTTTGGTAGTCATGAGGGCTTCAGATTTTCTCAAGAAAGCTGGAGTAATGGCTGTACTGGCACCTGTCAGAGCGTCTGGGTACTAAGGTGCCGTAGCAAACAATGTAAAAATGGACACCTCCTTTAGCCTGTGGCTAGTGTCACCCAAATTTGCAGATACCACCTCTTTCCTAGGACAAGGTTTAATTTCATAGAAACAAAACCATCTTTTCTCTTTCTTGGAAGTATTTGCAAGACCTGGGTCTCTGTTTCCTGCTTCTTATACTCTAAGATACCCTAATTATAACCCATAAAAATACAAGGGCTGTCCCCTCCATAAGGAAGGCAAAGCTTCTCACCTATGCTTTGGAGTTCTTTCTCTTTCATCTTTCTCAAACTCCGTTGACATTCTCTTCTCTCTCTGTTATATTTAGTTCTTCCCTTTAACTTCTGCTTCTTTCAACTAGCTATTACACACATAAATCTTTCCAATTTGAACACAAGCACCTAAAAAGGTTTTATTGACCTCATGTACCCCTCCAGCTAGGACTTCCCGCTTCCATTTCACAGTCCGCTGTTATTTTAAATAGGTGCCTCTAACCTCATACTCCATTTCTTCCCCTCCCAGTCTGACTCCAATAGGAATTCCTCCCCATTACTCAGATAATAGCTCTGCCAAGGTTGCTAATGACTGGTGTGTCCTTACTTCTTCAACCAAAATCATTTGGTCCTCACATTTCTTGAGCCCTAAGCAAGACTTAACCCAACTGATCACTTCCTCCTTTGAAACACTTTATTTTCCTCTGCTTCCATCTTATCCTACTGTTCTGATTTTTCTCCTAAGTCTCAAGCTACTTCTGTTTGTCTCACTCTAACCCTTCTCTAACAGCTTATTATTTATTGCTGCCTCTGCAAGCTCAATCATAGGCCCTGTCCTTCTCAGGATAACTTTATCCACAACCACAGCCTTAATTGGCCTCTGTGCACAGGTGGAGCCCACATTTATAAGTCGAGCAGCTATTTCCTTCCTGTGCTTTCCTTAATTGTCTGGAAGTCACGTAAAATTCAAGATATCTAAGAACAAACTCAACATTGTTCATTCTCAAATTGGTCCTCTTCCAGTAATTAAGGAATGCTACCTCCATTTACTCAGATACATTAGTGTTTCTCCCTTTCACCTCTCATCAGAATTAAAAAACTAATTGTTTTATTAAGTTCACCTCAATATATCCCATCTTTTTTTTCCCAGCACCAGACCACATTGGTCTACATTATCATTTTCTCTCATGTGGACGCCTGCAGTCTTCTCCTAATTGAACTACTCACATTCCCTACTCTATTTGCAAGGCCTCTCTCCTCCTCACCCTTACCCTATTTCCATCTGTTCTCTGTAATACAGCCAAGAGAATTAATCTCATCACAAACCCACACACTGACAATGGCTCCACACTGCTCTGAAGATCAAAACCAAAATGCTGAACATGGCTGCGACTCTCTACTTTCCCTGACCCTCGCTTCTCTTGCACCATCTGACACCATCTTCCTATGCCCACTGGGTGTATTTCAGTTTCAGACATTCTGAATTTATGCTGCAGGGTCCCTTCTACTGCAAAGCTACTGCGACACAGGAGTTCTCCTTTCGGTGTCCTCTTTTCTAGTCCAAGTCCAACTTCACCTCATTTATGGACTCTGCCTTGACCTGAATTCAAGACCTTTGTTAAATCGAAGAAGTTTTTCCTACCCTCTACACTAAGTCAGATCTCATTGTTATACAAAATAATAACAAGTGACACTTGCCATATTACAAAACAGGGAAAGGCAGCCCATCTTAACTGATAATGCATTGTTAACACTGTGCAGGTTCAACGACATAAAAACCTCGCAAAGAACAGGGCTACCTTTATTTATTTAACATTGTAGGTCTGGTGGAATCACCTTTCTGTTCTTCTCCTGAGGAATTATTGTCCTATCTGTTTCTTTTTCTTTTTCAGCAGTTTCTGACCGAAATGGCTTTCTCAAATTCAGAGGTTTCCAAAAGGGAAGGGCTGCCTTACTTCCTTACTTGTGGTGAATTCTTCCTTACTGGCCATGTTTGTCACCCTGCTGTGACTGGTTCCAATTAGCAAACTCTTCTTCCTTTCTTTTTTTTTTTTTTTTTTTTTGAGACAGAGTCTTGCTCTGTCATCCAGGCTGGAGTGAGGAGTGAGTGGCACCATCTCGGCTCACTGAAACCTCTGCCTCCCGGGTTCAAGCGATTCTCCTGCCTCAGCCTCCAGAGTAGCTGGGACTACGGGCACGTGCCAACATGTCCAGCTAATTTTTTGTAGAGATGGGGTTTCAGCATATTAGCCAGGATGGTCTTGATCTCCTGACCCCGTGATCTGCCTGCCTCGGCCTCCCAAAGTTCTGGGATGAAGTTTGGGTTACAGGCGTGAACCACCATGCCCAGTAACTTCTTCTTTCATTCCAAACCTGGTGAGGCCATAATTAGTACTAGTTTTGCTTAAACCTTCTAAAGTGGAATAATATTACCTTTAAAATGGCAAAAACTGGTCTTGCGGGGGGGAAATTTTCTCTTTTTATATATAAATTACAGATATATATAGAGAGTACATAAATGAAGATATAGCATATTTGTAATATCAAAGTTTGATAAGGTGAAGGAATGAGTAGAGAAAATGATGTCTAAGAAGACTTCTTGATGGGGACAATAATGAAAAAGACTGCAAAACATTGAGTTAGATCCTGCAACCACTTCCCTTCATTTCCATTCCCTGCTCCCAGTAGAAAAAATCCCACTACTTTTAAAGAGATGGCTTGCCAAGTCCCAGCACAGTTGAAAATTCTTAAAACTTGCTTCTGAGCAGAACAAAGTCTGATGCAAACCATTTTTTTATTTTTTATTTTTGTTTTTGGAGACGAAGTTTCACTCTTGTCGCCCAGGCTGGAGTGCCACGGTGCGATCTCGGCTCACTGCAACCTCTGCCTCGCAGGTTCAAGTGATTCTCCTGCCTCAGCCTCCTGAGTAGCTGGGATTACAGGTGTGTGCCACCATGCCTCGCTAAATTTTGTATTATTACTACAGATGAGATTTCACCATGTTGGCCAGGCTGGTCTCAAACTCCTGACTTCAGGTGATCTACCCACCTCAGCCTTCCAAAGTGCTGGGATTACAGGCGTGAGCCACCGTGCCCCCCCATTGTTTATCTTTCTAAGAATCAGCTGCACTCTTTTGTGATGAAAACCACAGCAATGTCCAATCCCAAAGATTTTACAACCCTTTTAACCTAGATATGAAACATCTACTTAAATTATGTCTACCATGATGAGAATTGACCAAGTCTGCAAAGATTTCAGACATTAAACTTCATGTCCACCTTTATACTCATATTTCTTTAACATAGTACCTGCCTCCAAGCAGAAGCTAAACGTCTGACAATAAATAAAACAGGAGGCACATTTTATTGAACGTCTACTATACAAAGACACTGGGGTTGTATTTTAATCTTCTAGACTTAAAATAACCCTTGGGTGTTAGTGTTATTACTCCCATGCTATAGACAAGGCATATGAAGAGGCTATGTAAATTGTGATCAAACTTACGCAGCTAGAACAGGACAGGCCCAGGAGTAGGACTAAGTTCTGTTTGTCTCCAAGTCTCCCCATTTTGCATTATAGGATCAAACACCAACACCTTCAAGAATGCACTAATTCTGGTGTATTAAACTTAACAGAGCCATGTCTTATCTGTTTCATGTGCTATCTCAGTTTATTAACATTTATGAAAAGCCATTTAGCAACCTAGCTCTGATTAAGAAAATCGACACCTGTACTTTGACTCCCTTCACAGGGATGAAAACTCTTCATCTAATGAATCAATAATCAATTTTTAATGCACTGGCAGGTTGAACAGAGAAATGCAGTAAAACCTTAGAAGTTGGCTCTCATCACCCTGCCAATCCCATGTGGGCTAATTATAAAGGGTAAGGTAAAACTTGGTGAAAGATGGGAGGATTAAGCTGGGAATTTGGGGGGCGGAGGGAGCTTTGACAAGTCTACCATAGCCTCCTGGCCCATTCTATCTATATCAGGTCAAAGAAAAGGATACCAACACACCAGGATAATTATGGACTCTCCACTGCTCTCTTGGCAATGCCAGAAAGGCCCATATCAACAAAGACCTCATGCATATTTAAGCCGATGTGTTCTACTCTAGTGAGTTCTAGATAGATTTTTATTAAGGAACAAGATCTTCAGAAATTTATTTTAGCCAGAAGCACATGATTTCTCCAGTCCATTTATTAGCATCAAAATAATACCACTGTGATGGTTAACTTTATGTGTCAATTGACCGAGCCACAGGGTGCTCAGGTACTTGGTTGAACATTATTCTCAGTATGTCTGTGAGGAAGTTGTTGGATAAAATTAACATTTAAATTAGCAGATTGAGTAAAGAAGATTACCCTCACTCATGTAGGCAGGCCTCATCCAATCACTTGAAAGACTGAATGGACCAAAAATTCTGACCCTCCTCTGAGATAGACAGGATTCCTCTTGCTGATGGCATTCTGGCTGGAACATGAGCTTTTTCCTGCCTTCGTACTTGACCTGAAACATCAGCTCTTCTGGGTTTTCACCCTGTAGATCTTGGAATTTGTCAGTCTCCATAGTCACCTGAGCCAATACTGTATAATAAATCTCTTTATGTATGCATGTATATATATATAGACAGATATACATATTTGTCTATCTACATACGTAGAGAACCAATTGATTTACATAGATAGAAATACATTTCATAGGTTTTCTCTCTCTCTCTCTCTGTGTATATATATATTTATTCATATTTATATGTTTGTCATATATTGAAATGGTTTGCCTCTTTGTCCCCACCCAAATCTCGTCTCAAATTGTAATTCCCACGTGTTCAGGGAAAGACCTGCTGAGAGTGATTGGATCATGAAGGCAGTTTCCCCCATGCTGTTCTCGTGATAGTGAGTGAGTTCTCAGTAGATCTGATGGTTTAAAAGTGGCAGTTTCCCCTTCACTCTCTCTTTCCTGACACCATGTAAGATGTACCTTGCTTCCCCTTAGCCTTTAGCCATGATTGTGAGTTTCCTGAAGCCTCCCCAGCCATGCAGAACTGTGAGTCAATTAAACCTTTTTTCTTTTTAAATTACCCAGTCTCAAGTAGTTTCTTTATAGCTGAGTGAAAATGAACTAATACAAATGTTTTTCTCATAGGTTTTACTTTTCTATGAAATCATGACTAATACAGTTACCTTGTATTTTTGTGATTGTATTTGTTTTATATTCATGAATACATGATTTACGGAACTTATTGTATTTTCTTCAAAAAATTATTTAGTCCTACCTGAACAGAATAAAATCGTCCATTTTCTGTGCTGTAGTCTGTGCACTCTAGCCTTTATGTGGGAACTTCCTCTAAATGAAGATTCTCAAGTCATAGCTCAGATATATTAAATCAGAATCTGCATTGGTAACAATGAGCAAGTGATTTGTATGAACATTTATGTCTGATAAGCTCCAGCACAGGGAACTTGAATTTTAGCCTGGCTATATGCTCTGTGATATTTAGTATGTCAGTGTAGCCATCTGGACCTCATTTTCTTTATTTCTGAGGATTTGGTCAATCAGGTACTTAGGATAGAGCTTGACATAGAATAGAAAATCATTATGATACAGCTAGTAACAAGAGGCACAGATAGTAGTATAAGAAGTAACAACAGCAAAATACAAAAATAATAGCATACCAGAGAGAACTTTAATTTAACAAGAAAGGATCCTGTATCTGGGTTTGAGTACTAGCCTTGATGGTTAAATGACTTTACGTCATTTTAGCTCCTAAGCCTTGTGTCCCCTACTTCTAAATTCATGCTGCTGGACCAAGTACATTTGTGTGTCGTTATACAGGGAGGTTTGACTCTGCTTAGAGAGCAGCTATACCCATTTCATCACTCACTTAGTGTATCCTTCCTGAGCTTAAATGTTCTGCTTTAGACAGTGTCTACTTGGCCAACCTATAAGCACCAGAAAATAATAATGGGCATTACTTGAGCATGGTTGACATCAGTGAGAAGAGGAGAAGCCACCCACAGACCCCTTTGCCTCTAATTCATTTCTAACCTGTGGCAATAGGCAGATAAGAGGATGCTCACTCATCATAGTTAACATGCTATAACATCACACCACTGAAACAAATGTCATCTGATACTTCATCATCTAAATTCTATTTCAGGATCACAGGGATACTCCTGAGGCATTGTCTTACTTGAAAAATGTTATTTCAATTAGTTGCATATCACTCTTTACAGGATTTAGGTCAAATGAGGGGCAGTACTAAATCCAAACCAAACAATATGTGTCTGCAATAAATTTCTGTTCCTGAATTATTCATATGTAATGGCATAGGTGACTCTTCAAGCATTCTGAATTAAGTAGAATTGATTTCTCACTTTTTTATGCTCTGTTGTACAAGCCTTTTTGTACTTTTACTTCTTCTTAACAAATAAAGTATTGATTCATCTCCACTGAACATGTTTTATTTAAACTTTGGTCTTTGTCAGCAACTTTGTTATTGGTACCCACAATTCCCTTTTGTAACTTCCCAATTGTCTTTAATTCTGAAGGTGAAATCTGTTAACCTGGCTGCTTAGCATGAAGTAACTGCAGAGTGGGTTAAAAATTTGGCAAGAACAATATCACAGTGACTTTTTTGCCTTGCCTTTGAGTTTTTACTCCATTACCACTCCCCACTCCCCAAAAATATCCTTCAAATTTTTATTCCATTTGGATGATTTAGGAATTACCATCGGACTTGAATTGCATTGTGTTTTTATTGGAAAACCATCAAATCTCTTCTTTCTAAATCCTTGAACAAGCATGTCTGTAGGTAGATGGGTGCAGGAAACTGGGTACAACAGTAATCCCAGCATGAAGCACACAGCCTGAATCAAAATTAAAACTTGATAAATATTTGTCAAGAAAATGAATAAATTTAATTTTTACTGGGGTTTATGTCTTCTAAAAACAATTGACAGACCATGAGTCAGGAAGCAGAGCATCTAGCTTATAATTATTAGTTCACTTCGTAGCACTCAAGTTTTATACAAAAATAAAATCTTGAAGAATTGAATTAATTAAGAAAAAAGTTGAGATTCAGGAGTTTATGTCCAAACCCAGATCTATTTTTGTGTAACCTTGGCCTTTGGCCAAGTTTTTCCCTCTAGAGTAGGAAAGTATTCTGGACAGTATCTTCCTTGCCTTCCAATGCTGGGACTGTGATTGTAACACACGTGTTCGTTAGTTTACTCACATGGGCTAAGACAGTCATGTTTATTGCCTGCTTTGATTCCACGCTTCACCTGGAACTTGGCCTTTCCTCCTCTCCTTGCCAATGTTCTGTGTGATCTGTAACAGATCCCTCTGCATGGGTTTCGTCAAGCTCTTACTCGTGCAGTCCATTGCAAACTGGCCACAGTACGTGGCCTTCAAAGCAAATTTTCCCTTGTCAAAGGGACTGCTGCAGATGCCCATTGAGTCACACCCCCAGGTACATTGCATAGACAATCCCAGGCCATTCTTTCTTCTGCAGAACACTGCCATGTACGTAGATTAATCCTCTGTTCTTTTGTCCTGCTCCAAATATATTGGTTATTCAGCATGTGGAAATCACTTTTCTTTGTAAGCCAAAGGCCTGAGCTGCTGCACAAGACCATGTCAGCTTCCTGGTTTTCTCCTTCAGTAAAGAGTCAGATGCACATGTGTCAAAGACATTCTCTGTAATATGTGCTACTACGATAGGTGCTGATGATAGAGGGGTGAATTGAGCACAGCTCCTATGCTGGAGAACTTTTAGCCTGATAGGAGGCATATAAATGCAGGCATTTCCCTACAAACAGACAATTGCTTTCCCCGTGGATATTTCCTATACAAACAGGTAATTTCTCTAGGCAATCACCTATATTGGCTGTGGAGTGGAACACCAAGGCCCTCTTCTGCTTTGCATTACACTCTGAAATCAATGCTACTAAGGCCACATGACCTTTACTCTTACACATTTTGATGGGACAACTTATTTTCATTCCCTTCCCAGCTCTAACTTCCCACATGAATTATCTAGAGGACAGACCATTAGCGAAATATGAATACTAAACAGTGGGTTCTACCCAAAGTCCTTCCTCTGGTACTCAACTTTGCATTGAGATAAGTTTCCACTGCCTGTGAATTTCTTTTCTTAGGATAAATTCCCTCCCCAGTGGGTCCACAGCGTCTTTCTCAGAAAAAAAAAATGACTCCTTTCTTTTTCTTGGCAATGTTCTAGTGAGGAATACGTACAAACACTTGCCCTGTTGACATTTCCTCTTGCCTTCTCTATGTTCTTTACCTTTACACCTGAATTATCCCTTACATCTGCTTGGTAAAATACCTTGGACACTCTACCTGACCGTTTTATAAATCAATTTCTCCATTAAACAGCATTTGTAGCATGACATTCCTTGTTGTTCCCCGACCCTTCATCCCTACATACCGCTTCTATAGAAAGAAGCTTTGATTCCCAAATCATCTTTAAAAAGATACTTCTGACCCCTTTTGTTATTCACTTTAATTTCTAGTTTTGCCTACTTTTTTCTAGAGCAAACCACAAACAAAATACCTGTAAATGGATTTCAAAATATATGTTTAGAGGAGACCTCCCAAACATATCACCTACACACAAATAATAAAAACCCATATCTGATGCTTTGGGAAAAATGCTTAAGTTCACCAAGTTTTGGGTTAAATCTTGTGTAGAATGCATGTGCTAGTCAGGTTTTATGGACTTTCTCTGCATTTGTATTGTTATTCAGAGCTGAAAAAGCTGACCCGGGACTGCAGACTACTAAGTTGTGGCCCATGAGCAAATCAAACGCTCCCTCAAGAGGTGAGAAATGTGAATGAAAAAAACAATAAAATAAAGTAAAATAAAATAAAATAAGATAAAAATTGGCAGTCTTTCATGATTTACAGTCACTGTCTTTGGTGTAGTAAACCTAATCATATTGGTTACTATTTCACTGCATTTGCCGCTAGAGTCCATTAGAACAGTCTAATTTACACTGCAGCGTAATTCATCTGTTTTATTAAGGTTGTTCTTGTATTTATGTTAGAAGTAAAAGCAGCCTCTGGCTCAATGTTATACAGTCATTCTGAGAAAATGCCACAGGGCACAGCAGTTAATAAACCTGGGAACTAGATTACAGCACCCGTATTGTTGACATCTGACAAGTTTACTGTGAATGTAGTTACGTTGATGCAGGATCTTATAAAAATAGACATTAGCATCATCATTACAAGCTTATTGCAAATAATTGTAGATCCCGTTTATGGAGGTACTTAAAGTTCTTTGCATACACTTTATTGAAAATGTTAGCATTTAATCTTGCCCCCGTCTTCTTCCCAGGAAAACCTATTTAGGGTTAGCTTACACAGATGGTAAGAAAATTACCTCATCATAGAATTATGACAAATTGAAGATCGGGAGATTTCTTGGAAAAGGCATGCCATCGTTACAGCAAGATTAGACATTTTCATAAAAGTCAGCTTCAGCTGTGCAAAAGCTTCTCTATTCTGTAGAAGGCTCAATGGTCAATTCGTAAATAACCTGCAGCAATCCCTGACAAGGCACCTTCCATTCAACTCCCTTAGTGGCGCTCACAGACAAGACATTCTTATATTGCAGAATGCCAGTCATTCTCTGGGCATCTCCCAAGAACTTTGTTTCAAATAACTCATTATTTGCACTGGTATATGGATAGAGAATCTTATTTTCTGAAAGGAAACAAACAAGAGGGAGTGTGGTAGAGAATAAGCTAATGCCAGCTATAACTCATAAGATATGGAAGAGGCAGAAGAAATATAAGAGCCAAAATATTATTGAAAAACAAACTGAAGACAGTTTTCAGCTTCGTATTTTTCTGCCTCACAGAAAGAATGTGAACTTTGGCATGAAATAGACTTGAACTTGCATGCAGATAATAAAACTCACACTCCATGAGAAGAATGCTTTGGATAATACTTGGCGTGCAACAGACATCTAATGAAAGATTTATCAATAGGATTGAGGCCACAGAGGGCAATACAAAGAACTACCTAGCACAATGCCTTCTATAGTGTAGATTACCATCGATATTTGTTAAAGGAGTGGATAAATTTCCTCAGTATCATTTTAACAAGACATTTACATGAACTACAGAGGATGGCACAAATGAAGGGAAAGATGTCAGGAAAAAAAAATCTGACGAGTCCTGAAATCCATGACTACTTAGATCTCATGATGTAGGAGCCATGAGGGATAAGATGGCATGGCAAAATGAATAATTTAAATTCAGGATACCCAGGTTCTGGCATTGACTCTGTCTCTATCTTTTCAGTGACTTCAGAATGTAATTTTGCCTGTCTCTAATGTGTCTCTTCATTGCTAAATGAGGACATAGAAGGAGAATATTTGTATTATCCATTCTAAAACTAAAATTCCATGCTTTGACATTCACAGAAAAGCCCAGCATTTCAGATCTGTGACTCCCAAAAATTTGGGGGTAACCTTATTATTTCAATCTTCCAAGTCTTTTAAAGTTTTTGTTTGTTTGTTTTTTTGTTTGTTTTGAGGTGGAGTCTCACTCTGTCACCCAGGCTGGAGTGCAGTGACGCGATCTCGGCTCACTGCAAGCTCTGCCTCCCGGGTTCACGCGATTCTCCTGTCTCAGCCTCCCTAGTAGCTGGGACTACAGGTGCCCGCTACAACGCCCGGCTAATTTTTTTTTTTATTTTTAGTAGACATAGGGTTTCACCGTGTTAGCCAGGATGGTCTCGAACTCCTGACCTCGTGATAAAGTTTTTTTACATTAATCCTTACCACCTAAATTCAACAAGCCACCAATTCTTATCAGTTCTACCTCCCAATTATTGTTCAAAGGCCTCATCCCTTCTGAATTCCTACAGCTGTTTCCTTAGTTCGGTCCCATATCATATCTTGCCAGGATTACTAGTGTCTTTAAACTGATTCTCTGACTGTAACTTCACTGTTTTCCAATTTATGTTCTGAGTTTTCTGAAGTTCAGATAATTTAAGCCTTTTTTACAAAAACTAGCAGTTTTGGTATTGACTCATCCATCTATTTTTTCATTTATTTACCAAGTATTTGCCATCCCTCTGACCTTGAAAAATTAGTAATACCCTTGATGCCTAAGTTTATTCATCTGTAAAGTGAGAAAAATAATAAAAATGTCTATTTCATTAGCTTTGTATGATTATTAAGTAAGTCACTATATGAAGAAAAAAAGAGCTTAGAAAAATGTCTGGCTTGTAATAACCACTCAAGGGTACAGTTTCTTGTAATACCGATACTATCACTCAACTAATAGTACCAGGCACCACGATGAGCACCAGAGACAGATGAAATGCTAACAAGAACCTGGGACTCCACTCCCATATGTTTGACAATGCAGTAATCACCTCCTTTAGTTTTGTCTGTTAGTTGCTTAATTCTTAGGAATAAAAAGCTATGGAGTCCACTCTTCTGTTTGATTTTCATATCAAATGTATCATCAAATCTTGTCGGTTTTAACAATTTTAAACAAATCACCACTGTATGTAGCTGACACCACCATGTTTTCCCACTTGGAGTTCTGCTGGAACCTTCTAGTAGGTTTCCCTGCCCCAACTATTGCCCCATGACAGACTTCTCTGTCGCTGTCAGAGTGAAAACTATGGCAGCAGCTCAAATCCAGCAGAAGCTGGAGAAAAGTCGAACCTTGAAAACATTAACTAGGTCACATTAAAGTGTGTAAGGCTATTTTTTTTTTCAGACAGCTCCTCAATTCCAATGGTACTTCACAACAATTGATTAAGAAAAATCAATACAAACAAAACATCATGTCACACAATTATTCAATAAAATGGAGCAGAATGGAAAAAACTCACCAGAAGTGGCCAGCATGCCCAGAACACAAACTAGAAGAAAAGAAGTATGATTAAATCAATTCATGTAATTTGGTTAGCATTAGAAAATCAAGTAATAGAATTTGTCATAGTAAGAGAATAAAAGAGAAATATCACATGGATGTCTTAATAGATGCAGAAAAAATATTTGACAGATGTCAACACTCAATTATGACTAAAAGACACTCAGCAAACTAAAATAGAAGGGTACATCTTCATCCTTATGAAGGATATTTACTATAAATTAACATTATTTAGCCATATGTTAAACACCTTGCCTATAAATTTTGAAAAAAAGGGCTGCTTTCTGTTTAACATTGCATTGGAATTCTGACCAGTGAAACAAGACAAGAAAAATAAGAATCATATGAATCAGAAAGGAAGAAGTAAATGTACCTCAGTTTGCAGATGAAATAGTTTCCACAGAGATTGTAAGAAAACCTGCAGAAAGGATACAATAATTTAAAAATAAATTAAGCAAAGCTTAGAATACAAAATTAATATGCCACAGTTACTTGAATCTCTGAATTATCACAGCAAGCCACTCATAGTGGAAATTTAAAAACATAAATAAATTCAATATGCATAAAATATATTTAATTTCTATATGTAATGTGATAAATATATGTATGCACAACAGCTTCTGACATATAACTTAGAAATAATTTTAACAACGGACACACAAGATCTATGCCCTGGAAACTATGAACTATTTTCTAAAGAAATTAAGAAAAATCCACGTAAATGAAGAGATAACATGTGCACAGATTACAAATATAAACATTGTTAAGATGCCAAATTTTCCCAAATTATTCTACAGTTTCAATGCAAACATAAACAAAATCTTGACCTAATTTTTGAAAAAATTGAGAACGTAAATATAGATTTTATAGAGGAATGCAAAGGCCTTGAAACAGGTAGGGCTTATACTACCTGATTCAAGACAGTGAGGTTCTGGCATAAGGATAGAAAGTAGATAAGCCCAGTAAAATAACAGTACAGAAAAGGACCCACACTTAATATGGTCAATTAAAAGACAACAGAGTATTTAATGAGAAAAAAATATTTTCAACAAATGGTGTTGGAACTACTTATACATATCAAAAATATATATAAAGCCAAAATCAAGGTCTTGGCCATGGTTTCAAACCATACACAAAAATCATTTAGAGATAGATTATATACTTGCATAGTAAAGCTAAATTTATAAAGATTTTGGGAAAATTACATAGTACAATATCAGTATCATTGCAACATAGAAGTAGGCAAAATTTTCTTAGAATGGGCATATAATGTAGGAAATACAGTATCTAGAAAAACTAGAAATGAGACACTAAATCAAAATTAATTTTTTTCTCCAACAAAAGATGTCATTAGAAAAATGAACTGGCAAGTAGTAGATAAGAAGATATTATTTATATAAAAAAATCTGTATCCAATCTATATTAAGAACTTGCACATATGAACAGACACTTCACAAAGGAAAATACATGAATGTACAAACATCACACAAAAAAACACTCAACAACTGTGATCAGGGAAATTCAAATGAAAACCATAATGATATTCCAATATACACTCACTGAAAAGGGTAAAATTAAAAGATTGATTACACCAAATAATGTAATTTTACACTGAAGATGTGAAAGAACCAAAGCCATATGACTTCTAATAAGTTCCATTAAAAAACACACGTCATTATTTTGATTTGATTCCTAGCAAAAATATATAACATGAGTTTTATGAGAAAAATTTAGACAAACACAAATTCAGTAATATTAAATAACTGCACTGTACTTTAAAAACATCAAGGTCTAGAAACTCTAACAATGGCTAAGAACTTTCAGTTTAAAGGAGATTAAAAAATGACCACTACAAGCAATATGAGATCCTAGTCCTGAAAAAAGTAAATAAACATGAAATTATTATTGTAACAGTTGTAAAACATGGTAAATGTTAGCTGAATTTTATAGTACTAGTACTATCTATCAATATTAACTATTCTGATTTTGGTACAGTATTTTTTAATGCATTTTTCTTATTCTTATAAAAGGACTTTATATCTCCAAGTTACTGTTAAATAATTCAGAAATATTTGTGTGTGTGTGCATATCTTGAGACATATATGGAGAACGAGATAAAGATTAATAAAGCAGATTGGACTATGTGTTAGTCTGTTCTCACGCTGTTAATAAAGACATACCTGAGACTGGGAAACTTATAAAGGAAAGAGTTTCAATAGACTCACAGTTTCACATGGCTGAGGAAGCCTCACAATAATGGCAGAAGGTAAAGGAAATGCAAAGTCATGTCTTACATGGTGGCAGGCAAGAGAATGTGTGCAGGGGATCTATCGTTTATAAAACCATCAGATCTAGTTAGACTTACTATCACAAGAACAGCATAGGAAAAACTCACTACCATAATTCAATTACCTCTAGGAGTTACCCCCCATGACATGTTTGGGTGCGACACAGCCAAACCATATCATTTGCCCCGGCCCCTCTCAAATCTCATGTTTTCACATTTCAAAACCAATCATGCCTTCCCATCAGTCTTAACTGATTTCAGCATTAATTCAAAAGTCCACAACCCAAAGTCTCATCTGAGACAAGGCAAGTCTCTTCTGCCTATGAGCCTGTAAAATGAAAAGCAAGTTAATTACTTCCTAGATACAATGGTGGTTCAGGCATTGGGTAAGTACAGCCACTCCAAAAGGGAGAAATTGGCGAAAATGTAGAGGCTAGAGGCCCAATGCAAGGACAAAATCCAATGGGGCAGTCAAATCTTACAGCTCCAAAATGATCTCCTTTGATGCCATGTCTCACATCCAGGTCATGGTGATGCAAGAGGTGGGTTCCCATGGCTTTGAGCATCTCCACCACCCCTGTGACATTGCAGGATACAGCCTGTTTGGCTGTTTTTTCACAGGTTTTTCCAGGTGCACAGTGCAAGTTGTGAGAGGATCTACCATTCTGGGGCTGAAGGATGGTGGCCCTTTTCTCACAGCTCCACTAGGCAGTGCCTCAGTGGGGACCCTGTGTGGGGGCTCCCAACTCCTATTTCCCTTCTGCACTGCCCTAGCAGATGTTCTCCATGAGGGCTCCACCTCTGCAGCACACCTATCCTGGACATCCAGGTGTTTCCATACATCCTCTGAAATCTAGGTGGAGGTTCCCAAACCTTAATTCTTGACATCTGTGCACCCACAGGCCCAACACCACGTGTAAGCCACCAAGGCTTGGGTCTTGCATCCTCTGAATCAATGCCCTGAGCTGTACATTGACACCTTTTAGCTACAGCTGGGACGCAGGGCACCAAGTCTTGAGACTACGCAAAGCAGCAAGGTTTTGGACCTGGCTCACTAGCCCATTTTTTCCTCCTAGGCCTCCCAGCCTGTGATGGGAGAGGCTGCTGTGAAGACCTCTGACATGACCTGGAGATATTTTCCCCATTGCCTTAGAGATTAACATTTGGCTCCTTGTTACTTATGTGTTTTTCTGCAGGGGGCTTGAATTTCTCCTCAGAAATGGGTTTTTCTTTTCTATTGCATCATCAGGCTACAAATATTCTAAACTTTTGTGTTCTGCTTCCCTTTTAAAATAAGTTCCAATCTCAAAACATATCTCTGTGAATAAACAAAACTGAATGCTTTTAAGAGCACACAAGTCACATCTTCACTTTGATGCTTAGAAATTTCTTCCACCAGATACCTTAAATTCTTTCTCTCAAGTTCAAAGTTCCACAGATCTCTAGGGCAGGGGCAAAATGTTATCAGTCTCTTTGCTAAAGCATAGCAAGAATCACCTTTGCTTTTCTTGGATTTTATTGCCCATATCACTATCAGCATTGTGGCTAAAGCCATTCAACAAGTCTCTAGGAAGTTCCAAACTTTCCGGCATCTTCTTGTCTTCTGAGCCCTCCAAGTCTCTAGAAAGTTCCAAACTTTTCCACATTTTCCTGTCTTCTTCTAAGCCCTCCACACTATTCTAATCTTTGCCTGTTATCCATTCCAAAGTGACTTCCACATTTTCAGATACCTTTACAGTAGCACCCTACTCCTGGTACCAATTTACTATACTAGTTTTCACGCTGCTAATAATGACATACCCAAGACTAAGTAGTTTCTAAAACAAAGAGGTTTAACTGATGCGTAGTTCCACATGGCTGAAGAGGCATCACAATCAAGATCGAAGGTGAAAAAAAAGCAAAATCACATCTTATATGGTGGTAGGCAAGAGAGGGTGTGCAGGGGAACTGCCCTTATAAAACCATCAGATATCATGAGTCTTATTCACTATCACAAAAACAGCATGGGAAAAACCCACCCTCATGAATCAATTACAACCCAGTTGGTCCCTCCCGTGATAGGTGGGGATTACAGGAGCTACAATTCAAGATGAGATTCAGTTGGGGACACAGCCAAACCATATCAGACCACATGTCAAAAGTGAACGACTCTAGGTAAAGGGTATATGCTTGCTTTTAGTACTATTTTTGTAGCTTGTCTGCAAATCTGAAAATATATTTAAAAATAAACATATGAGCTCATGCCACTTTCTTGATTTCAGCTTTCTAATGGTATTTCATCACAATTATAATAAAATCCAATAACCTGCCATGATTTATGAGGCCTTATATAATCTTGCCTAAGAATTTACCTCTTCAATTTTATTTTTGTTACTTTCCTTGCTCACTCTGCTCAGACGACACCAACCTTTTTGCCATTTCTCAAGTATTCCAAATGGAGTCTCTTCTTGTGCCTTTTGTATGTGGCAGTCTTGTTCTGCCTGAATCATTCTTTTCTCAGATGCTTACCTATCATATCCCTGCACTTTATATGGGTCTCTGACCAAAAAAGAATCCTTTGGTCTTCCCATGTTAAAAAAAATCTTCCCTGTTGCTCTCTGTCCCCACTTATCCTGTGTTTCATTTCTCCACAACACTGAATGCTTATTAACATATTATTTTCTATTTATTAGTTATCTTTTATTCTAGAGTTTATGTGCAATTTTTGATCTTGTTCATATCCATGTAGCTAGAACACAGAGAAGCCTTTGGCATTTGGCCTATATTCATAGTCTTGTAAGTATTGGAGGAGCACACAAATGAATTAATAAGATATTCAAGTACAGTTACATGCTACATAGAGGTTTTTCAGTCAAAGACCACAAAAACAAAAGTGTTCCCATCAGATTATAATACAGTATTTTTACTGTCCATTTTCTATGTTTAGATACAGAAATATTTATTATTGTGTTGCAGTTGCCTACAGTACTCAGTACAGTAACATGCTGTATAGATTTGTAGGCTAGGAACAATAGGCAATACGGTATAGCCTAGGTGTGTAACAGACTACACAATCCAGGTTTGCATAAGTGCATTCTATAGCATTCTCACAACAACAAAATACCTAAGGACACATTTCTCAGAATACATCCCTGTCATTAAGCGACATATGACTATAATTGTTTGATTATGCTTGGGATAATGAATGCCTCAGAAAAGGGATAATAAACCTCTAGGCTATCATAAAAGCAAAGATCAGAAAAGCTTCCTTTATTGTGCGTGTCTGTAGCCTCTCTCCATATGCTGTGTTTGTTGTCCTTAAATATATTCAGAGAACCTGAACATTGTCAATGATGTGCTGTAAGTACTACCCCATCCAGAATATGAAATTCACTGGGACTTTGTCCAAGTTTTTTTTTTTGTTCATGTGTACTAAATTTTTATATATACCCCAAAGAGTGTTTAGAGTTGTGAGAAACTTAATTTTATTCCCTAACTTTGTGCAATTTGTGAACTCGATAATCCTTAGTTTTCATTTCTTCTCTCAAGTTTGTGTTGGCCTTATTGAAGGTAGTGTCAGGATCATCTACTAACCATAAATCATAAATCATAAATGAAGATAACTAAATAAATACCATGTATTTGAAATACAAGAGTCAAGGTAGACTTCCAAGTATTTTGTCCAAACAACTGTCAAATGATGTGTGGCTTTTGAAAATAAGAGAGCTCCATTACATTGCATGGTTGGTCTCATTAATAGGAAGTTATTAACAAATTCTAAGTGAATAAATGTTTGCTGTTGTTGTTGAGACAGGGTCTCACTCTGTCTCCCAGGCTGAGTGCAGTGGCATGACCATGGCTCACTGCAGCCTCAACTGCCTGGGCTCAGGGATCCTCTTGCCTCAGCCTCCCAAGTAGCTGGGACTACAGTCGTGCACCACAATGCCCAGCTAATTTTTGATTTTTTTGTAGAGACAGGAACTTGTTATGTTGCCCAGGCTGGTCCTGAACTCTTGGCTTCAAGAGATACTCCAGACTTGGCCTCCCAAAGTGCTGAGGTTACAGGTGAAAGCCACTGTGCTTGGCCAAGAGATGGCTTTTAACAGCTGACGAGAAATGCTTACCACATAGAATTAAAACTCTGAAGTGTGATGTAGTGACGTGGGAACTGTTTCTGGAGTGTGGGGAATTGGGTTCTGTTCTAAGCTCTGTCACTATCAGACCTACCACCTGCTTGGACAAGTTTTTACTCTTTTGAAACCTCTGCATCTTATAACCAACACAAGGAATTTGGACTAGATAAAAACTAAGACTCTTTCCTGTTATAATATTCCATGATTTTAGGCTGAGCCAATTCAGGGACATTATTTTTTATAAAATGATTAAGTGGCAGAAGCAGCCAAGAAAACATCTGTAAGACTTCCACATTTTTAGGGGAAATATAGAGCTTACATCTCAGAGGGCACAAGGTTAACTCTCGTCCATGATGATGAGCTTTTTTCAGGTGTACGTGCCCTTTCTGTGATTCCCAGCACTGCACTGTATTTAAGTCTAATTAAATCTTTTTGTACAAACTTTAAATACACTTAATTAAAACAGGTAGACTAGGGATGATAAATTCCAGAAGTAAGTAGGTTAAAGTGCAGGCTCATTTCTTCTGCTAATTAGTTGAAGGATGATCTTCCTTGCCAAGGGGCCGAATGACAGGAGATTCATTTCTTCAATTTAAATCTGTTTTTAAATGTCTTTCTGAAGCCTTTAGGCTTTGGAATTTGAATTCTATAAAATTCAATGCTGGGGATTATCTCTTTTTCTTTTATACTTAAACCCTAAGCAAGGTTCAATAGAGATCCAAGCATTATAGAGCACCCAGTGGTCATTGAGTCCACACACTTAGTCAGCAAAACAGTCCGCGTGGTAATTTTAATCATCACTCCATCACTCTTGAGAGACTGGCCTAACTTCGTATATTATGATAGATTTTTTGAAACTGTGACTTATTCATTAAATGTTCGATTCTTTGAAATACTTAGCTTGGCACTGAATTGATAAATTTGATTTCCCAGCACTGCAGCTGTAATCATCCTGTGTGTTTAAATCTGCTCCTATTCAAGGGTCAGTAGTATGGCTGGGGAGGCATAGTCCCAACTGGTTTTGAAAATAATTCTCACAGTCCCCCAAGGTGGTGACTGCAATTTGGATTTTGTTTCATATTGCGATGACAATGTAATCATTACACTATTACAGAAATTAAAGAATTGTGGCATATATTAGGTTGGTGGGAAAAATTGCAGTTTTTGCTATTACTTTCAATGGCAAAAACCACAATCGCTTTTGCACCAACCTAATACAATCCGTAATTTATGTTGCTGATTGCAAGTATTGTCTGCATTCACATCACTATATTTTATTTTCTTTTGATGTTGGGGCATGATGTGAGGAAGACTCCTTTTGACATGCTAAAATGTTTCTATCTTCTTAAAACCATATTCTGCATAGGAATAAACATTTTTTTCTATGAAATTTCACCAATGCAGAACATGCTTGACATGAATCTGGAGGAAGATTTGGGGGCCTTGCAGAGGCCTGGTACACCTGCTGACACTGGTGTAGACATTGTGTGGTACATAACAGCTACTTTCCATGGAGTGTCTTCTTATCATGTGAGTAATAAGTGCTAAGCATTCAAGCTGGCCTCACCTTCCTTCTATTTCCTTGCTATTATCTTAGAACCCTTCTAATGTTTCTCCTATAATAGTATTCCAAGAACTGTACCTGCAAAAAGGGATCTATGACCTCTATAATAATTTTGAATTGTAATATACTGATGAGCTAAAAAAAAATCCAAGCATTTTTTTCTTTCATTTATTTGTCAAGCATTTATTGAAATCACTCTTCTAGGCTCTGAGAGGAAAAACTGCCCTAGTGGAGTTTTATTTGTTTGTTAAATGATAACTGAATTTATAGTTCTTGGCTCACTTTTTAAGACAGTTTTAAGACCAATTTTGGGTTCACAGCAAAATTAAGAGAAATATAGAGAGATTTCCCATATACTCTCTCTCCCTACACTTTTACAGACTCTTCAATTACCAACATCCCTCACCAGAGTGGTACATTTTTTACAGTTGATGAGCCTACACTAACACATCATGATCACCCAACGTCTTTAGTTTACATTAGGGCTCATGATTACTGTTGTATATTCTGTGGGTTTCGACAAATGTGTAAGGACATGTACACATCGTTATAATAGCAAAAGAGTATTTTCACTGCTCTAAAAATCCTCTGTGCTCTTCGTATTCATCCTTCCCTCCCCTCAAACTCTCTGGAAAGCACGGATTTTTTTTAGTGTTTCCATAGTTTTGCCTTATCCAGAATGTCATGTATATGGAATCATATAGCATGTAGTCTATTTAGAATGGCTTATCTGACTTAATAGTATGCATTTAAGGTTTGTCTATGTCTTTTCATGGCTTCATAGCTCATTTCTATTTTGGTATGAATAATATTGCATTGTCTAGATGTACCATAGTTTATCCATTAACTAACTGAAGGATATCTTGATTCCAAGTTTTGACTGTCATGAATAATACTACTGCAAATACCTGTTTGACGGTTTTTGTGTGGACATTTTTTAACTAATTCCAGTAAACACTATGGAGTGTGATTGTCAGATCTTAGGGTAAAATTATAATTAGTTTTGTAAAAAACTGTCAAAATTTCTTCCAAAGTGGCTGTACCATTTGCCATTTCCATCAGTAATGAATGAGAGTTCCTGCCGCTCCACTTCCTAGCCAGAATTTGGTGTTGTCAGTGTTCCAGATTTTGGTCATTCTGATAGGTGTGTAGTGGTATATCATTGTTTATTTATTTATTTATTTTGAGATGGAGTCTCACTCTGTCGCCCAGGCTGGAGTGCAGTGGCGCCATCTCGGCTCATTGTAAGCTCCACCTCCTTACAGGAGGTGGTTCATGCCATTCTCCTGCCTCAGCCTCCCCAGTAGCTGGGACTACAGGCACTCGCCACCACACCCAGCTAATTTTTTTTTTTTTTTTTTTTTTTTGCATTTTTAGTAGAGACAGGGTTTCACCGTGTTAGCCAGGATGGTCTCAATCTCCTGACCTCGTGATCCGCCAGCCTCGGCCTCCCAAAGTGCTGGGATTACAGGTGTAAGCCACCACGCCCGGCTGGTATCTCATTGTTTTCATTTGCATTTCCCTGATGATATATGATGTGAAGCATCTTTTTATATGCTTATTTGCCATCAATAAATCTTCTTTGGTGATGTGTCTTTTAAGGTCTTTAGCCTGTCTTTTAATTGGGTCAGTTTATTTGTATTGTTGAGTTTCAAGAATCCTTTGTATATTTTAGATAACAGTCCTTTAGCAGAATTTTTCTTTTTTTTTTTTTTTTGCAATTATCTTCACCCTGTCTGTGGCTTGTCATCTCATCCCTTTGACAGAGTATTTTGCATAGTAAAAGTTTCTAATTATAATGAAGTTCAACTTATCAATTGTTTCTTTCATGGATCACAACTTTAGTGTTTTACCTGAAAGGTCATTGCCATATCCAAGATCATCTAGGTTTCCTCCTATTTTATCTTCCAGAAGTTTTATAGTTTTGCATTTTACAGTTAGGCCTGTGATCTATTCTAAGTTAATTTTTGTGAAGGGTATAAGGTCTGCATCTAGACTTTTTTTTTTTTTTTTTGCTTGTTGATGTCCAATTGTTCTATAACCAGTTGTTGAAAAGAATAACTTTGCTTCATTGTCCTGCAAATTGCCCCTTTGTCAAAGGATGGTTGGTTATAATTACGTGGGTATATTTCCGAGCTTTCTATTTCATGCCATTGATCTGTCTGTCTATTCTTTCACAATTAGCATCCTGTCTTGATTACTGTAACTTTATAAGACTTGAAAGCAGGTAGTGTCAGTCCTCTCACTTTTTTCTTCTCTTTCAAGATTGTCTTTGCTATTCGGAGTCTATTGCTCCCCTCTGTAAACTTCAGAATCAGTTTAGTGGTATGAGTAAAGTAATTTCATGGAGTTTTGATTGGGGTTGCATTTAACGTATACACCGAGTTGGGAAGAACTGATGTCTTGACAATATTGAGTTTTCCTGTTCACAGACATGGAATATTTTTCCGTTTATTTAGTTCTTTTTTGATTTATTTCATCAGAGTTTTATCATAATCATATAGATCTTACATATATTTTGTTAGATTTATACATAAGCATTTCATTTGGGGGGATGTTAATGTGAATGATCCTATGTTTTTATTTTCAAATACCACTTGTACATTGCTGGAATATAAGAAAATGATTGACTTTTGTATAATATATTATTCTTGTGTCCTGAAATCTTGCTGTGATTACTTATTTCTTCCAGCAGTTTCATTTTTTGTCAGTTATTTTGAATTATCTACAAAGGTGATCATATCAGCTGTAAATATTTTTTTTTTAATTTCTTCCTTCCAATCCATAGACATTTTCTTTTCTTGTCTTCTTAATGATGATGCTGAAGAACAGTGGTGTAGGGGACATTCTTGTCTTGTACCTGTTCTTAGTAGGTAAGCTTGAGTTTCTCACTATTTAAGAAGATGTTAGCAGTAGGTTTTTCATATATATTCTTTATAAATTTGAGAAACTTTCCCTCTTTCTAGTTTGCCAATAATTTTTATCATAAATAAATGTTGGAGTTTGTTAAAATCTGCCTCTATTAATATATGTTGTAATGTTCTTTTTTAGCATAGTGAGGCAATAAATTACAATAATTAATTTTTGAATGTTGATCCAGACTTGCATACCTGAAATAAAACCCACTTGATAATGGTGTATAATTATTTTTATTTATTTTTATTCATTGTGCAAGTATTTTGTTAAGGATTTTTGCAGTCGTGTTCATTAGCAATATTAATCTATAGTTAATGTATATTAATCTAATAGCTTTGTCTTGTTTTTAGTATTAGGGCAATGCTGGCCCTTTTCAATAAGGTAGGGAGTATTCCCTATTTCTATCCTCCAAAAGACATTGAAAATGGTATAATTTCTTCCTTAAATGTTCAATAGAATTCACCAGTGAACTCAGTGAAGATTAATGCATTCTTCTTTGGATTATTAAATATTGTCTCAATTTATTACTATATATAAGCCTATTTAGATTGTTAATTTTTCTTCTGTGAATTTTGACAGCTCATGTTTTTAAAAGAATTGGCCTAGCTGGGTACAATGGCTCAGGCCTGTAATCCCAGCACTTTGGGAGGCTGAGGCGGGCAGATCAAAAGGTCAGGAGTTCAAGAGCAGCCTGACCAACGTGGTGAAACCCTGTCTCTAATAAAAATTCAAAAATTAGCAGGGCATGGTGGCACATGCCTGTAATCCCAGCTATTTGGGAGGCTGAGGCAGGAGAATCACTTGAACCTGGGAAGCAGAGTTTGCAGTGAGCTAAAATGGCGCCATTGCACTCTAGCCTGGGCAACAGAGTGAGACTTCATCTCAAAAAAATAAAACAAAAATAAAAAAAGAAAGAAATGGCCTATGTAATCTAGGTTATAAAATTTGTGGGCATATTATGGTTCATAGTATTCTTTCTTTGTAATTATTTTATTTTCTTAAGTTCCAGGGTACGTGTGCAGAATGTTCAGGTTTGTTTCATAGGTAAGTGTGTGCCATGGTGGTTTGCTGCACCTGTCAACCCATCAACTAGGTATTAAGCCCAGCATGCATTAGCTCTTTTCCCTAATGCTCTCCTTCTTCCAACCATCCCCTGACAGGCCCCAGTAAGTGTTGTTCCCCTCCCTGTGTCCAGGTGTTCTCATTGTTCAACTCCCACTTATAAGTGAGAACACACAGTGTTTGGTTTTCTATTCCTGCATTAGTTTGCTGAGGATAATGGCTTCCAGCTTCATCCATGTCCCTGCAAAATACATGCCTGGCACAAGACAAGGATGCCCTCTCTCACCACTCCTATTCAACATAGTATTAAAAGTTCTGGCCAGGGCCATCAGGCAAGAGAAAAAAATAAAGGGTATTCATTTAGGAAAAGAGGAAGTCAATTGGTCTCTGTTTGCACATGACATGACTGTATATTTAGAAAACCCCATCGTCTCTGCCCAAAATCTCCTTAAGCTGATAAGCAACTTCAGCAAAGTCTCGGGATACAAAATCAGTGTGCAAAAATAACAAGCATTCCTATACACCAATAACAGACAAACAGAGAGCCAAATCATGAGTGAACTCCCATTCACAATTACTACAAAGAGAATAAAATACCTAGGAATCCAACTTACAAGGGATGTGAAGGATGTCTTCAAGAAGAACTACAAACCACTGCTCAATGAAATAAAAGAGGACACAAACAAATGAACGAACATTCCATGCTCATGGATAGGAAGAATCAATATCGTGAAAATGGCCATACTGCCGTAGGTAATTTATAGATTCAATGCCATCCCCATCAAGCTACCACTGACTTTCCTCACAGCATTGGAAAAAACTACTTTAAATTTCATGTGAAGCATATTATTTATATTTTCCTTTTACTTTTTTGTTGCTTTACAGTTTTCAATATGCATTTACAGCTAATCCATGTCCACTTTCAAATAACACCATACTGCTTCACAGATTTTATAAGTACTTATAACAATAAAGTGATTCAAATTTCTTCCCCCCGTCTTTGTACCATTTCAATTCTATTATAAATGAAATGAATGGCAGCAATAATACAAAGATGAGTGGGCAAGAAATTAGAGTACATTTATATACTATATATGTATACACACATATATACACTTACATAGAATATATAGACACATAAACACACATACACACATACATAGAATATGTATATATATACACATACACACACATATAGACACATACATAGAATATATATCAAATAGATTGTTGCTATTATTGTTTTGAACAAACTTCTATCTGTTAGGTTAATTAATAGGAGAAAAAAGGTTTTATTTTACCTTCACTCATTGTTTTTCCATGTTCTTTCTTTCTTTAGGTAGGTCAGAATTTCTGATCTATATCATTTTTCCTTTTCCCTCAATAACTTTTAAATTTTTTGAAATGCATATCTAATGGCAATAAAGTTTCTCAATTTGTGTTTGTCTGAGACTGTCTTTATTTCTTCTTCACTTTTGATTGATAATTTTTCAGGGCACAGAGTTCTATGTTGGTGAAGTTTTTCTCTCTCAGCACTTTAAACATTTACTCTTTTCTTGCTCAGGTTTTCTAAGGAATTGGATGTAATTCTTTGTTCCTCTATAAATGAGGAATATATATATGTTTTCCTCTGACCTTGTCAAGATTTTTTTCTTTATTGTTGATTTTTTTTGTATTTTTCTGTTATGGTGGCTTTTTTTTTTTAAATATCTTTACCATTGTTTTTTCCTTAAGATTTTCATCTCTGTTTACATTGCCCTTCTGTTCTTATATGCCTTCTATTTTACCCATTAAAGCTGTTGGGATATTAATTATAGTTGTTTGAAATCCTGTCACGTCTGATTTTGATACTGTTCTAACTATATAAATTATGCTTTTGGCCTTCTTGTATGTCTTGTAATATTTTAAATGGAAAGACAAAATGCACTGGGTAAAAGAAACTGCTATAAATAGGCTTTAGGTAATGTGGTGGCAAGGGGGAGGGGGAGGGGCAGTGTTCCACAGTCCTGCGATTGGACCTCAGTCTTTTAGCGAGCCTATGCCTCTGAACTGTTAACTTCACAAGTGTTTCTCAGGGCTTTTATTTTAATTTTTAATTTTATTTGTTTACCCTTCCAAAGATGGAAGAAGATGGGTAGAGTAAATTGAAATTGGGTATTTCCCTTCTCTCACATGAAAGTTAGAGATAACCAGAGTTGTGTATTCTATTTCCCCCACATCAGTTTGGTTCTGATAGTATCCCAGCAGGTTAGGTCCTGGTTAACTACTTTCTTCTGAGAGCAAGCCTTGTTAAGAAGAACAGAATGCTCTGGAATATTTTTAAATGGTTCATTTCCCCTCCCCCTGCTGGAAGTATGAGGGGATTATTCTCCACTATTTACTATAAGAACCTCATCAAGCTCCTGGAGGTAAATATCACAGTATTGTTGGAGTCACCTTAAGACTGTGTCCCCCCTGGGGTTTTTAACTCTCAGACTTGTCCTTACTAAGCCTTCAGCAATTCCTCAGTTATAGTGCAGGTTTTCCTACCCCAGCACTGGTTTTACTCATGAGTCTTCACTCTGGGAAGCCCTGACTCTCTGTATTGACCCATCTATCTCTTCAATCATGGGGGTAGCAGTTTGTCCTGTGTCCTCAACTCTTTTCTTGCTCCAGGAACAATTATTGATGTTTCATCTGTTCAGCTTTCTAATTGTTGTTAGGACAGAATGAGGAGGAAAACTCAATAAGTTCCCCTACATTCAATTTGACTTTTTGTCTGGAGACATTTTGCAAAACACAACACAGGTAAGTAGATACAAAATAGGGATGAGGTTAAGAATAAAATGAGAAAGAAAGGAAAGCCATGAAAAGATCAATCATAAGAAACCTAGTTTGGATATATTGACATCAGACAAATAAGATTTCAATAGAACAAGTATCATCAGGGATAAAAAATAATATTTTGAAGAAATAAAAGCTTCAATTCATTAAAAAGATATAACAATGCTAAATGATTATGCACACAATAACAAAGCTTCAAAAAATGAAGCAAGAACTGACATAGCTAAGGAGAGACACAAATCTACAAATTTATTCGGGTATTTAACACTCATGCATTAGTAACTAACAAAGTGAGTAGACATAAATCAATACAGAGGCATCTCAACAAATATAATATAATTTGAATTTATAAAATAATATTAACCAATTTGATGTAGTTAGCAAATGCAGAACAAAATACCTAACAATGGCAGAATGCAGTCTTTTCAAGTACACCGAAGACATTCACCTAGATGAGCTATGTAAGAAATTATAATCAATTCCTAAAGATCAAAACAAAATCAGACAAAGTATTTTTCTAACAAAATTGTGATTAAATTAGAAATTGATGAAAAAACATAGAGCTAATAGTATACTTAATGGTTAAAGATTGAATGTTTCCTCCCTAAGATTAGAAAAAGGCAAAGATTATTTATATTTATTATTCTTATTTATTCTATTAATCTTGAACTGGAGATCCTGGCCAGCACAGTAATACAAGTTAAAAAAAAAAAGTAAACGTTATAAAGATGGGAAACACAAAAATAAACTTGTTTTAAAAATTTTTGGAGGACATGTTTGTGTACATAAAAAATCTTAAGCAACCTACACCAAACCACTGCTATAAGGAATAACTGAATCTAAAAACCTAGCAGGATATAAAACCAATTATACAGAAATCTATTTTATTTTCATAAACTTTTTATGACAACTAAAAAATTAAGTGAAAAACATTATTTACAATAGCATCAAAATGACATAATGAAGAATAGAACATTTGAAAAGAAGCTGGCAGAAAGGGGCTGATTAGATGCATCCAGGACCAACATCTGCCGCCAAGGGACCAGGACACTAGGAAGACGGGTGCACTCTGAGCAGATCTTTGCAAGGAAGGGATTGAGAGTGGACAGAGGGAGGACAAAGATGCTGGGCTCAAAGGGTAGGAAGCTGGGTAAACTGCATGGGCCTTACATGAAGCAGGACTCATTCCTGGACCCTAGTGACTCCTATGATAGGGATGAGTTGAAGAGACAAAGAGCAATGCACTCTTACCATGGACGCCTGGAATACTGGGAGCAGGAGACCCATGACCCCCACAGACACTTGAACTAGTAGACACAGCTGCTTAGAGAGGTGCTAGGGGCAGGACTTCTGCTTGTGCAGAGCCTAGAGGGTTTGATTTGGGAATGTCTGCAGGGGAGCACAACCAATGACACCCATCCCCCAAGGCATGTCATGATCCCATAGGAGATTCTAGCCTTAGGGAACCTGTCAGACCTGAACAGAGCAGGGTGGTCTTGCCTGAGATGGGACCAGTTTTACCTGAGTGCCCTTCTGTCTGCTGGCCTCTCCTGGGGCCCCAGCTGGCTGTGTCTACTTGCAGTGCAGTCTTAGATGCCCAACTGAGGAACCTCCTAGGGGCCTGCATCGTAGTTCTTACACTGGCAGGCAATGCTTGACTATATCAGAGAGTTCCAGTACAGCAGCCTCCACCAACGTGCACCAGCCTATCTCCCTCAACTGCATCTCCCTCAACTGGGATCTCCCTCAACTGCAATCTCTCTTGTGCCAATTTGCCAGCACACCCACACTCACCTAAGGCTACCTCCCACCATAGTTTTGCCAATAAGTGTGTGCACAAGCAAACCTCACCTCCCCTTCCCTGCTCGAGCAGGGGTGTATGTGCACCTTATTGTGCCATTGTTATTGGTGTCTGTGCACCCAACCTTGCCTGCACTTCACGTTGGCTGTTGCTGCTGGTACAAGTGAATAAGAATGGATTCCGCTGCTACCACCCAATGAAGCATGTTGGCTGGCACCACCTTTTGGAGTGTGGTGGCCTCCAGCCAGGGAACACTTTGGGCCCTCTAGGGCAGCAGTTTTCCAACTTCAAGGGGCCAAAGAACAAAGCTTGGCTTCACATACCAGCTCCCCAGTGTTAGAGAATGAAGCCCAGGAGTGCTGAGCTAAGCCATGGTCCCCCTCAAATTTACCAGAAATGTAGGCCTTTGATTGAACCCACCTTATACCACAATCAAACTCCTAGGGATATCAAAGAAGCTAAAAGAAAAAAAAAAATCCCATCCAAAAGACAAACTTCAAAGATAGAAGAACATCAGCCCATATAGACAAGAAAGAACCAGCACAATAACTAGTGTGACTAAAAAAGCCAGAGTGTCCTCTTATCTCCAAAAGACCATACTGGTTCCCCAGCAATGGTTCTTAACTAGGCTGAAATGGCTAAAATGACAAAAATCGAATTCAGGATACGGATAGGAACAAAGATCATTGACATTCAGAAGAAAGTCTAACCCAATCGAATAATTCTAAGGAATATCATACAATGGTACAGGAAATGAAAGGCAACATGGCCATTTTAAGAAAGAACCAAACTGAGCTGACAGGGCCGAAAAACTCACTTCAAGAATTTCAAAATACAACTGCAAGTATTAACAGCAGAATTGACCAAACCGAGGTCAGAATCTCAGACCTTGAAGATATGCTCTATGAAATAACTCAGTCACACAAAAATAAAAAAAAGAAGAGTAAACAAAACCTGCAAGAAATATGTGATCATGTAAAGAGACCGAATCTATGACACATTGACATCCCTGAAATACAAGGAGAGAAAGCAAACCACTTAGAAAACACATATTTCAGGATATCATCCATGAAAATTTCCCAACCTTGCTAGAGAGGCCAACATTCAAATTTAGAAAGTGCAGAAAACCCCATGTGAAATACTGCACAAGAAGACCATCCTCAAGACACATAGTTATGGAATTCTCTGAGGTCAAAATGAAAGAAAAAATGTAAATGGCAGCTAGGGAGAAGGGGCAGGTCACCTCCTAAGGGAACCCCATCAGGTTAACAGGAGACCTTTCAGGAGAAAACTACAAGCCAGATGAGAATGGAGGCCTATATTCAGCATTCTTAAAAGAATTTCCAAGAAAGAATTTTGTGTGTAGCAAAACTAAGCTTCATAAGTGGAGAAATATGACCCTTTTCAGACAAGCAAATTCTAATGGATTTCATTACCACCAGACTTGCATTATAAGAGGTCCTGAACAGAGTGCTAAATATGGAAAGACCATTACCAGCCACAACAAAAAGCACACTTAAGTACACAGACAAGTGGCACTACAAAGCAACCACACAAAAAAGTCTGCATAATAACTAGCTAAAAACATGATGACAGGAGCAAATCTACAAATGTCAATATAAACCTTGAATGTAATTGGGCTAAATGCCCCTATTAAAAGTCATAGAGTGGCAAGTTGGATAAAGAAGCAAGACCCAATGTTGCCATGTCTTCAAGAGACCCATCTCACATGCAATGACACCCATAGGCTCAAATTAAATGAATGAAGAAAAATATACCAAGCAAATGGAAAACAGAAAAAAAGTAGGCATTGCTATTCTAACTTCAGACAAAATAGAGTTTCAATGAACAAAGATCGAAAAAGACAAAAAAGGGCATTACATAATGGGAAAGTTTTCAATTCAACAAGAAGACCTAACTATCCTAAATTCCTATGCACTCAACACAGAAGCATCTAGATTTATAAGGCAAGTACTTAAGAGACCTATAAAGAAATTTAAATAACTACATGATAATAGTGGGAGCCTTCAATACCCCACTGATAATATTAAACAGATCACCAAAGCAGAAAACTAAAAAAGATATTCAGGACCTGAATTCAGCACTTGACCAAATAGACTAAATGAACACCTACAGAACACTTCACTCCCCATGACAGCAAGAAAAAAAAAACACACACACACACAATATACATTCTTCTCATCTGTGCATGGCACATACTCCAAAATCAATCCCACAATTGGACATAAAACAGTACTCAACAAATTCAAAAAAATCATATCAACTGCATTCTGGGACTGCAGCACAATAAAAATAGAAATCAATATCAAGAAATTTGCTTACAACCAACTAATTCCATGGAAATTCAACAACCTGTTCCTGAATGACTTTTGGGTAAATAATGAAATTAAGGGAGATATCAAGAAATTCTTTGAATGAGATCAAAGATACAACATACTAGACTATCTGGAACACAACAAACACTGTGTTAAGAGGAAAATGTATAATCCTAAACACCCACATCAATAAGTTAGAAAAATCTCAAATTGACAACTTAACATCAACTGAAAAAACTAGAGATCTAAGAGCAAACCAACCCCAATGCTAGCAGAAGATGAGAAATAACTCACATCAGAGCTGAACTGAAAGTAACTGAGATGAGGATAACCACACAAAAGATCAACAAATACAGGAGTTTTGTTTTGATTTTTTTCATAAGATATCTGGACTGCTAGTAGAGTAATAAAGAAAAAAACAGAGAAGATCCAAATAAACACAATCAGAAATGACAAAGAGGACATTACCACTGATCCCACAGAAATGCAAATAACCCTCAGAGACTGCCATGTATACTCCTGTGTACATATGCTAGAAAACCTAGAAGAAATGGATAAATTCCTGGACACATATACCCTCCCAAGACTGAACAAGGAAGAAATTGTATTCCTGAAGAAACTAATAAAGAACTTCAGAATTGAATCAGTAACAAAAAGCCTGCCAAACAAAAAAGCCCAGGATCAGATGGATTTACAAATTCTACCAGATGTATAATAAAGATCTGGTACCATTCCTACTGAAACTATTCCAAAAAAATTGAAGAGGAGGGACCCTAACTCATTCTATGAGGCCAGCATCATCCTGATATCAAAACCAGGCACAGACACAACAGAAAAAAAAAAAAAAAAGCTTCAGGTCAATACCTTTGATGAACATAGGTGCAATCATCTTCAACAGCAACCAGCAAATCAAATCCAGCAGCATATGAAAAGCTAATCCACCACAATCAAGTAGGATTTATCATTGGGATGCAAGGTTGCTTCAACATACACAAATCAAGAAATATCAACACAGAAATGATCTAAAAACAAAAATTTTATGTCTATCTCAATAGATACAGAAAAGGCTTTCAATAAAATTTAACATCACTTCATATTAAAAACTCTTAACAAACTAGGCATTGAAGGAACATACTTCAAAATAAAAACAGCCATCTATTGCAAACCCACACCCAACATCATACTAGATGGGCAAAAGCTAGAAGCATTGCTTTTGAAAACCAGAAAAAGACAAGGATGCTCTCTGTCACCACTCTTATGCAAAATTGTACTGGAAGTCCTGGCCAGAGTAATTAGTCAAGAGAAAGAAATAAAAGGCATTCAAATAAAAAGAGAGGAAGCCAAAATATCCCTGTTTGCTGGTATGATTCTACACCTAGAAATCCCCACATTCTCTGCCCAAAAGTTCCTTCAGTTGATAAACTTCAGCAAAGTTTTGGGAAACAAAATCAATGTACAAAAATAACTAGCATTCCTATACACCAACAACAGCCAAGCCAACAGCCAAATCAGAAAGGTAATTCCATTCACAATTGCTACAAAAAGAATAAAATATTTAGGAGTACAGCTAACCAGGAAGGTAAAAGACCTCTACAATGAGAATTATGAAATAGTGCTCAAAGAAATCAGAGAAGACGCAAATTGGAAAATATCCCATGCTCATAGACAGGAAGAATCAATATCATTAAAATGGCCATACTACCCAAAGCAATTTACAGATTCAATGCTATTTCTATCACACTACTAATGATATTCTCCACAGAACTAGAAAAACTGTTTTAAAATTCACATGGGACCAAAAAAAAAAAAAAAAGCCCTAATAGTTGGGGCAATCCTAAGGGGGAAAAAAAAAAAGCTGGAGACATCACATTACCCAACTTAAAACTATACTACAGCACTACAGTAACCAAAAGAGCATGGCACTGGCAAAAACAAACAAACAAACAGGCACAAGGACCAATGCAACAGAATAGAGAACCGAGAATTAAGACTGCACACCTATGACCATCTGAACTTTAGCAAAGTTGACAGAAACAAGCAATGGGACCAAAAGAGTCCCTATTCAATAAATGGTCATGGGATAACTGGCTAGCCATATGCAGAAGATTGAAACTGGACCCCTTCCTTATTCCATATACAAAAATCAACTGAAGATGGATAAAGACTTAAATGTAATGGCAGTAAAGTAGTTAAGGCTGAAAAATACACCTATCTCCTATTTCACTCTATGTTCCAAGATTAATTTAAATGGATTATAGGCCTATGCATAACAATTATAAAGTAAGATTTCTCAACCTCTGAAGGATTGGCATTTTTGGCCAGTTAGCACCTCTTCTTTTGTAACAACTAAAAATGTCTTCAGATTTTACCAAATGTTTTCTGGGAGGCAAAATAGGCTCCATTTGAGAATCATTTCTCTAGAAGAAATAATGGAAATATATCTTCACATCCCTATAGTAGGATATGCCACACACACACACGCACACAATAAAAACAATAAACCACTGATGAAATATATTTTATCAAATTTAAAATTTCTTCTCACCTAAGGACATCATTAAGAAAACACGTAGAACACAAACTAAGAAAAATATTTACAGCAAATAAATATAACAGCTTATATTCAGAATATAAAAAGAAGGATTAAAATCAATAATAAAGAGATGCTATTGCTTGGGCTTACCTTCACTCACTCTTTCGAACTTGACAAAAAGGGGAAAAAAGATCTATAAACAAAGTCTTTATACGTAGAGTGTCTGTCTTTTACTCCTGAAGAGCAAATAAAATTTACTCTACTTTCTTGGTAATATTCCTATAATTAGCATCATAATATTGAGTGTACCAATAATTACATCTTTCCATCCTTGCCAATGAAGGAGATCATCAGCAATCAAGGTCAAATTTGTACCCCCTGGCAACTACCTTCCTGACTGCCTCAGGTTACCAGACACTCCCATAAGCATGTTGTGGCCCTTTGTAAGGACATCTGGGATTTCCATTGAGCTTCCTGCTACTAGGTTATACACCTGATGATTCCATTGCTCCTATTAAGATGTAATTTAGTTTTCCATTTAGCGTCCTAACTCCTGAGACCATATGTTTTAGAAGGCAAAAAACACATCTTTCTGATTTTTGTATCCTCAGTTCTTGGCCCAGTGATGGCAGCACAACAGTACTCAGTAGGCGTGTACTGAATTAGTAAGTAAAGAATACTCTTTTAAAACTAGTTTGTCTGAATAGGTTCTCAAACTTCTGCTGTACCTTAATTTTACATAGGAGCAAAGCTAGAATCATAAATGGTAGGGATGAGCATTCCCACCTTCATTAACCTTATGATGACATGGAATTTCAATGAGAATGATTTATTTAGCCAGTGTCACATGCCTCATTCCCTTTTACCTCCTCTTCCCTCTGGTCCTTTTTGGTCCTTTCTCTGTGTTATCTTGTCAAGGATGGAGGAGTTTTCAGAGCCCCCCTTTGTTTTCTGACTTCATATGCAAAGCACTCCCCAGGGAGAAAACCATAAGGCAACACTAGTTCTCTGCAGCCTTGAATCTGTCAAGAGCAATGAAAATATCCAAGGAGATATCACTACTCAAAAGTCATCTAGGAGTGCATATTTGTCCAGCTTATTTCTATAATAAAAATTATTTTTCTTTAAATGTTGACCCTAAATCATGAGTTAGAACGTAAAATTGCATCCAGACCACCCCAATATCAGTGCACTCCAAGGGGCTTTTCAAAGGGACTCAGGTGTGTATTCCACATTTGAGAATGACTTTAGTTCTCAATGTACACACCTTTCTAACCACACCCCCTCAGCACCCTATCACAGTCAAGTCTTAACCCTCTTTAGTTCTAGGGTAGCACCTTCTCTGCTTAGGTCCTACTTCATGACGTTTGCATGACAGCTTGGCATAGTGGTAAAATGGAAATATGCAGAATTAGCAGGTAGAGATCTAGGCGCATGCCTCAGCTTCACCACCTGTTGGCTTAAGGAAATTGGGGATTAATTAAATTATTTGAGTTTCAGATTAATTAAAGAAAATGTGAAAATTTTAATATAAATGGGGCTGAGTGTGGTGACTCATGCCTGTAATCCCAGCACTTTGGGGGGCCCGAGACGGGTGGATCACCTGAAGTCAGGAGTTCTAGACCAGCCTGACCAACATGGTGAAACCCAGTCTCTACTAAAAATACAAAAATTAGCTGGGCGTGGTGGTTGGTGCCTATAATCTCATCTACTTGGGAGGCTGAGGCAGGAGAATCGCTTGAACCCGAGAGGAGGAGGTGGCAGTGAGCTGAGATTGTGCCATTGCATTCCAGCCTGGGCAACAAGAGTGAAACTCCATCTCACATGAAAAAAAAATTTTTTTTAAAGGGAAAGGAAAGATGGAAAGGAAAGGAAAGGAAAGGAAAGGAAAGGAAAGGAAAGGAAAGGAAAGGAAAGGAACAAAATATGAACATAAATGGGAGAATGTGATAGGGCCCCTTAAATTATAAAAGTATATATGTGTTGGTTTTGTGTTTTCCTTTGTATGTTTTTATTAGCTATGAACAGAATATGTATGGCTTTTTTTTTTTAAGTTCTGGGATACATGTGCTGAATGTGTAGGTTTTTTACATAAGTATACATGTGCTGTGGTGGTTTGCTGCACCTATCAACCTGTCATCTAGGTTTTAAGCCCTACATGCATTAGGTGTTTGTCCTAATGCCCTTTCTCCCCTTTCCCCTCACCCACTGACAGGCTCCAGTGTGTGATGTTCCTCTCCCTGTGTCTACATGTTCTCATTGTTCAACTCCCACTTACGAGTGAGAACATGCGGTGTTTGGTTTTCTGTTCCTGTGTTGGCTTGCTGAGGATGATGGTTTCCAGCTTCATCCATGTCCCTGCAAATGATCTGACTGCTGAAACATTTTTTTAATGGCATGTTCAGCAAAGGTTTCACTAAAGAATCAAGAAAATAATTGACAAAAATTCAGGCATTCAGGAGTGTTAGGAGGCAATCTAGACAGGACTTACACATGAAACAGCTGAAAAACAGACTGTGATCCCTCCATAACACATAATTTGAGGGCAAAAATGGGTTAACATTGAGGACAAGAAGTTCAGATTTATAGAATACCTGTCGGGAGAGATATAGAGTTACTTTGTATCCTGCCACTATCACTGGGGAGATATGTTGGACAGAGTTCTATCGTGCAAAGTTAAGTGAAAGAGGTTCTAAGGAGATTGTTCAGAGAGCATGATATACTGTTCCCCCTGTCCTTTCAAACTGAGAGATCAAAGTATATTCATAATGGACTTAGACCTAGGAAATGCAAGGGGCAGTGAGAAGATAGAAGTGACTATGGCCATACATAGCAGGTTGGAACTGCACTCCCATGAGTTAATGGACACAGATTCATGAGTCTTGTTAATTTCATGTGTGTAGGGGGTGGGGGCACATACACATGCATGAGATATACAACCTGGGTTGAAACCTACATCAGTTGCAACAATAATTGGGGCTTGAATTGGGAGTTTTAAGCAGCCAATAGCTTTTGCATCATTGAGGATAAAAAATCCCCAGCAATGTGAGTCTCCAAGGATACCACAAAAATGGTGCATTAGAAAAAAGTGTAAACTTTGACTGCTTCCCTAAGCCAGAGAGGATTTTATTAATCACCCCTTGTGGGCGTTAGAATTTAATTCCAGCTTCAATAGAATGAGATTTATCTCACTTTCTTACCCTTCCTCCCACCCTCAGCTTTTATTCTGTAGAAGATGCAGTTAAGAGTTTCCTCTCCTACTGCAGGCTGATTTCTTTCAGCTGACTATGGCTGGGGAAGAAAAGAATCGAGGATTGTGTATGAAGTTCAGAGTTTGAATGAGACCCAGGTCATGACATATTAGTAACAGAACTAAGACCATTCTTGTGATAAAAGGTCAGTATTTTATTTGAAGTGGCCATATGTGTGGTGGAAACCACCTTAGTTTTTATCCAATTGGATTAGGGAAAAGAAGCAAATAGAAAAGGTTGCAGGGGAAGTTGTGAGAAAGAATACAATTGCTTTATGGTTTTATTCTAAAATTGTGCTCTTTCAATCTAACATTGACATTATTATTTTTATCTTTACTATAATAATGATCATTATCTTCATCATTATTATTTTAGACGGTTGGGAAACTAAGCTAGCTTTCTAATGGCTCTTTTTAAAAAAAAAAAACTTACAAAAAAGCTTATTATGGGATTGGCTCATAATTAATCTTATGGGAAGGCCAAACTGAGGAATTATGTCTGACAGAAGGGAAGAAATGACCATGGTGGCCTTCTTAGACCCTGTGGGAAAGGCCTCTACCTATCCAGTGAAAGTGTCTACCTAGACCAAGAGGTATTTTAGTTTCCTGACTCAGGGCATGTTGAGTAAAGCTAATTTGCCAGTCCTGGGCAGGGGTAAATCCTTGAGCTTGATGTGTAGGGAAGGGAGGGGCCCTGAATAATCCTTGAGGAGTAGTAGAACAGCAGATAGAACACTGAGAAATTATTTCCTTGAGGATAGGTTTCCACGATGGAAAGGAAATGAGAGGTTCTAAGAGGCGGGCTAGTGGCTTGTACTATAGCATAGCCTGCCTTTGCTGGTGTGTGGCGATTAGGCCTGGTGGAACTGTCATCAATAAACCAAGTGTGATCAGGGTGAGAAACAGGGAAGAAGGAAATGTGGGGAAATGTGGTGAACGTCAGGTGGATCAGAGAGATGCAGTCATGAGGGTCAGGTGTGGTATCAGGAATAATGTGGGAGGCCAGATTGAAGTTGGCCAGGAACAATGGTAATTGTGGGAGACTCAACAAAGAGTGAGTACAGCTGAAGGAGCCAGGGAGCAGAAAGTATATGTGTCAGGTGTGAGGAAGAAAACAGATTTTGGAAATTAGGAGAGCTGTAGAGAGTGAGTTGTGCATAGTTTGTGATTTTAAGGGCCTCTAAAAGTATTAGGGCAGCAGCAGCCACTGCACGGAGATAAGATGGCCAGCCTAAAACAGTAAGGTCAAGTTGTTTGGACAAAAAGGCTACAGAATGTGATCCCAGTCCTTGCATAAGAATTCTGAATACACAGCCCTGCACTTCAGCTGTGTGTAATGAAAAGGGTTGGATGAGTCAGGGAGAGCTAGGGTGGGGTCAGTCTCTAAAGCTGTCTTCAAGGAATGGAAAGAGGAGTGGGGAAAGGATTTAGGATCTATGGGGTCAGCTAGGCTTCCTTTTGTGAGTTATATAATGGTTTTTTTAGGATGGCAAAACCAGGTATCCAAAGGCGAAAGTATCTAACTATGCCCAGGAAGGAAAGGAGTTGTTGTTTTGTAGAAGGGATTGGGGTTTGGGAGATTAGCTGGACATGATCAGCAGGGAGAGCACGTGTGTTTTTATGAGAATTATGCCAAGATAGGTAACAGATGAGGAAGAAACGTGGGCTTGACTGAAGTAATGGGGACTGCCTGTGAAGCTTTGCGGCAGTACAGCCTAGGTAATTTGCTGAGCTTGATGGGTGTCAGGGTCAGTCCAGGTGAAAGCAAAGAGAGGCTGGGATGAAGGGTGCAAAGGAATATAAAGAAAGCATCTTTGAGATCTAGAACAGAATAATGGATTTTGGAGGGAGGTATTGAGGATAGGAGAGTATATGGGTTTGGCACCATGGGGTGGATAAGCAAAACAATTTGGTTGATAAGGCATAGATCCTGAACTAACTTGTAAGGCTTGTCTGGTTTTAGGACAGGTAAAATGGGGGAATTGTAAGGAGAGTTTATAGGCTTTAAAAGGCCATGCTGTAGCAGGCGAGTGATAACAGGCTTTAATCCTTTGAAAGCATGCTGTGGGATGGGATATTGGCATTGAGCGGGGTAAGGGTGATTAGGTTTTAATGAGATGGTAAGCGGTGCATGATCAGTCACCTAGGAGGGAGTAGAGGTATCTTATACTTGTGGGTTAAGGTGGGGGGATAAAAGAGGAGGACGCAAAGGAGGCTTTGGATTGGGAAGAAGGGTGGCAATGAGATGTAGCTGTAATCCAGGAATAGTCAGGGAAGCAGATAATCTAGTTAAAGTGTCTTGGCCTAATAAGGGAACTGGGCAGGTGGGATAACTAAAAAGGAGTGCTTAAAAGAGTATTGTCTAAGTTGGCACCAGAGTTGGGGAGTTTTAAGAGGTTTAGAAGCCTGGCTGTCAATACCTACAACAGTTATGGAGGCAAGGGAAACAGCCCTTGAAAACAAGGTAATGTGGAGTGGGTGGCCTCCATATTGATTAAGAAGGGGAAGGACTTACCCTCCACTGTGAGAGTTACCTAAAACTCGGCATCTGTGATGGTCTACAGGGCTTCCAAGGCGATCGGGCAGCATCAGTCTTCAGCTGCTAAGCTGAGAAGATCTGGGAAGGAGTCAGTCAGAGAGCCTTGGGCCAGAGTTCCAGGGGCTCTGGGAGTGGCTGCCAGGTGAGTTGAACAGTCCGATTTCCAGTGGGGTCTTGCACAGATGGGACACAGCTTAGGAGGAATCCTGGGCTGCGGGCATTCCTTGGCCTGGTGGCCAGATTTCTGGCACTTGTAGCAAGCTCCTGGGGGAGGCGGTTCTGGAGGAATGCCTGGCCACTGCGGTTTAGGTGTTTGGAAGTTCTTGTGTGCTGGAGATGTGGCTGGGGTTTGTCTCACAGTGGAGGCAAGGAATTGCAACTCAGAAATATGTTGCTACTTGGCTGCCTCTACTCTATTATTGTACACCCTGAAGGCAAGGTTAATTAAGTCCTGTTGTGGGGTTTGAGGGCCGGAATTTAATTTTTGGAGTTTTATTTAATGTCGGGAGCAGATTGGGTGATAAAATGTATATTGAGAATAAGATGGCCTTTTGACCTTTTAGGGTCTAGGGCTGTAAAGTGTCTCAGGGTTGCTGCCAAATGAGCCATGAACTGGGCTGGATTTTTATATTTGATGAAAAAGAGCCTAAATGCTATCTGATTTGGGAAAAAGAAAAAGGAGCATTAACCTTGATTATACCTTTAGTAGCTCCAGCCACCTTTTTCAGAGGAAATTGCTGGGCAGGTGGGGGAGGGCTAGTCACAGAACGAAACTGTAAGCGAGACCAGGTGTGAGGAGGGGAGGTGATAAAAGGATTATAGGTGGAGGAGCGAAGGCTGAGGAAGAATTGGGACTTAGCTCAGCTTGGTGAGGAGGGGAGAGGTCAGCTAGGTATGCAGAAAAGGAAGATCTGGAAGACTCAGTGACACTTGGGGTTGGGACTGAGGGGACAGGCGGGAGGGAAAGAAGGAAGATTTGGGACAAGTTGCATTGGGAAGAGAGACTAGGAAGGGCCCGACATCTAAAAGAATGCCTGGACATCAGGCACCTCAGACCATTTGCCCATTTTATGACAAAGAATTATTTAGATCTTGTAGGATGGAAAAATTGAAAGTGCCATTTTTTTTGGCTATTTGGAACTACTGTCAAGTTTGTATTGAGGTCAAGTGGGATTGCAGAAGAAAATAAGACACTTAGATTTTAGGTCAGGCGAGAGTTGAAGAGGTTTTAAGTTCTTAAGAACACAGGCTAAGGGAGAAGCAGAAGGAATGGAAGGTGGAAGCTTGCCCATAGTGAAGGAGGCAAACCTAGAGAAAAGACAGTAGAGACACGGAGAAGGCGTGGGGGGTTCTTGCCTTCCAGAAAAGCAGAGAAGGGGTCAGGGCATGGAAATAAGGGGTTGGGGCACAGAGATAAGATGTCAGGGTGTGGAAATAATGGATGGGGCACAGAGATAAGAGGTTGGGGCATGGAAATAAGGGATTGGGGCATAGAGATAAGAGGTCAGGGTTCCTGCCCCTCCCTCAGAAAAGCAGGACTCGCCACTAAGGGTAAAGGACCAAGGCAGGTGTCCCTGCATGGTCTGACACCTCTGAAACCTGGGTGAATAATAATCAGAGAGGTGTCCCTGCAATGATTAAACACCAAGGGAAGGCTGCCTTCCCTACTCCGTGACCAGCGCCGGAATTTTGGGTCCACAGATAAAACGTGTCTCCTTTGTCTCTACCAGAAAATGAAAGGAATTGAAATTAAGAGAAGGGAGAGATTGAAGTGTGGCGCCAAGATTGAAAGGAGAAAGAGGTTGCGGGATAGTGAGAGAGGTTGGAGAAGAGAGTAAAAAGAGGCTGCTTACCAGATTTAAAATTGGTGAGATGTTCCTTCGGCTGGTTGGTCTGAGGACCAGAGGTTGTAGGTGGATCTTTCTCACGGAGCAAAGAGCAGGAGGACAGGGGATTGATCTCCCAAGGGAGGTCCCCCAGTCTGAATCACAGCACCAAATTTCATGCGTGTCCCCGTGAAGAGACCACCAAACAGGCTTTGTGTGAGCAATAAAGCTGTTTATTTCACCTGGGTGCAGGTGGGCTGAGTCTGAAAAGAGAATCAGCGAAGGGAGATGGGGTGGGGCCGTTTTATAGGATCTGGGTAGGTAAAGGAAAAAGGGGGGTTGCTCTCTGGCTGGCAGGAGTGGGGGGGCGGTCACAAGGTGCTCAGTAGGGGAGATTTTGAGCCAGGATGAGCCAGGAGCAGGAATTTCACAAGATAATGCCATCAGTTAAGGCAGGAACAGACCATTTTCATTTCTTTTGTGGTGGAATGTCATCAGTTAAGGCAGGAACCGGCCATCTGGATGTGTACGTGCAGGTCACAGGGGATATGATGGCTTAGCTTGGGCTCAGAGGCCTGACTATAGTAATCTATAATTTTAATTGAATATCATTAGGGAAACACAAAATGGACAAAATGAGAATTCCCTAATAATATGTTTAAAATGTTATAGGTAAAATCCATTATAATCAACTTTAAAGCATTAAAATAAAAATTCACAAGAACTTTCACCACAAAAGCAAGGAAGGCCACAATATAGGTACATAGATACATGCATATATATAATACAAGTAATTATTAAAATAACACAAATATTCCAATTAAATAATTGGTAATGGAGCTGCAATATAAACAAAATTAAAATGCAAATGGTCAATTATTGTATGGAATATGACTGAGGTCATATAAATAAGAGAAATACTAAATGATAGTGACATATCAGTATGCTCCTCTACATTTAGAAAATATTTAAATAAATAAAATGTGTATTGAGAGCTAGGCAACCAGCAATCATATAAACAGGTACTGACATTTATATGAAGGGATGGGTTACCCCTCTACACCTGTGGGTGTTTCTCAGTAGGTGGAATGAGAGACTTGGAAAAGAAAGACACACAGAGACAAAGTATAGAGAAAGAAAAAGGGGCCCAGGGGGCCGGCGTTCAGCTTACGGAGGATCCACATGGGCACCAGCCTCTGAGTTCCCTTAGTATTTATTGATCATTATCGGGCATTTCCCAGAGAGGGGGATGTGGCAGGACAATAGGATAATAGTGGAGAGGTCAGCAGGTAAACACGTGAACAAATGTCTCAGCATCATAAACAAGGTAAAGAAAAAAGTGCTGTGCTTTTGATTAGCATATATATAAACATCTCAATGCCTTAAAGAGCAGTATTGCTGACAGCATGTCCCACCTCCAGCCCTAAGGCCGTTTTCCCCTATCTCAGTAGTTGGAATATACAATCGGGCTTTACACTGAGACATTCCATTGCCCAGGGAGGAGCAGGAGACAGAAGCCTTCCTCTTATCTCAACTGCAAAGAGGGATTCCTTCCTCTTTTACTAATCCTCCTCAGCACAGACCCTTTACTGGTGTCGGGCTGGGGGATGGTCAGGTCTTTCCCTTCCCACGAGGCCATATTTCAGGCTATCACATGTGGAGAAACCTTGGACAATACCTGGCTTTCCTAGGCAGAGGTCCCTGTGGCCTTCTGCAGTGTTTTGTGTCTCTGGGTACTTGAGATTAGGGAGTGATGAAGACTCTTAACAAGCAGGCTGCCTTCAAGCCTTTGTTTAACAAAGCACACCCTGCACAGCCCTTAATCCATTTAACCCTGAGTTGACACAGCACATGTCTTAGGGAGCACAGGGTTGTGGGTAGGGTTACAGATTAACAGCATCTCAAGGCAGAAGAATTTTTCTTAGTACAGAACAAAATGGAGTCTCTTATGTCTACTTCTTTCTACACAGACACAGTAACAATCTGATCTCTCTTTTTCCCACATTTATGTAAGTTGGATTTGAAATATACCAACATTTGTGCATTTATACATTCATTCCATAAATATTTATTGTGTTTGTGCATGGATGAGGTACTATTACAGGTACTGTAAGTGTAAATATAAATTTTTTAGGCAGCTGTGTTCTGTGGAAGCTTTCATTCTGATTATACAGTCTATAACTGTGCTGTTCAGTGAGATAGCCACTAGCCACGTATGGCTATTGAGAACTTGAAATCCAGCAAGTCAACTGAGCTATGATTTAAGTGTAAAACACTTATTCAGTTTTGAGGGACAAATACCATAAAACCTAGAAAATGTAATATCTTTTTAATTATTCTTAAATAATTATACATTGAAATATTTTAATAAATTGGGTTAAATAAATTATTACTGTTAATTTTACTTATTTCTTCACTTGATCTTAGCCAAAAGGCCAAGAAGTGATTAACTTCATTTATTTCTTTTTACTCTTTTTAGTGTGTCCACTAGAAAACTTAAACTTATATATGCGGCTTGCATTATATTTTTATTAGCATAAATATAGAGCAGATTGGAAGTTTCAAGATATTAATTTCTTTTACTGTATTCCAATGAAGTACTCAGAGATGCATTTAGAAATCAATTTTAAAGAAAATTCATTTTCATATTGTTTATGGGACAAATAATTATAAACAATGTAAATACTTAACAATTGGAACTGTTTTCTTTTATATGGTTTAAATTGGGAATTTGGTAAACTATGTTATAATTAAATACATGAAAAAACATTCAAATTAATGTTAGAAAAGCAAAGTGAGATAAAATTTATATTGTTTTTCTAACATTTGTCATATGTACAAATATACATATAACATATTGAATATATATTTTGACTATACATATAGGCATACACACATACTTATATAACATATTTGTTGAGAGTTTACTAAAAGAACAGACTTTATCACTGCAATGTAGCACCTCTACTAAGGACAATCTGTTTTGTTCATCTCTTTCTGAAATGCCTAACATTTTTGACAGCGTAAAGAATAAATAAGTGCCTGTTGAATGGCACTCATTTGGATGAGATACCATCCAGTGGTATCTATTTTTTAATATTTGTCAATGTAAGAATTAAAGAAGGAAGGAACACAAAAGGTGGCATACCAGTTAATATGGGTTTATTTTAGAGAAACAAACCTGAGAAGAGCCTTCTGGCTGAGTTAGGTCAGAGGCACACTGTCTAACAGACAAAGAGTTTTTAAGTGTTTTGGCAAGCCACCTTTTATGTTTCTTTCCTCTTTCTTTAATTCTTACAGTCTATACTCTCTGTACTTTTAGTACATATTTTATGTCCAATAAACAAGAATGAACTGAAAAAAGTAGTAAACATAAATGGTTTAGTTTCACAATTACTTTACCAAAATACAAAGTGGAGGCTTTAGAATGTAAATAATATACTAAAGGTTTTAATCTTATCTCTGGCTGAACTGAGACTAATCTGTCTCTTGATCTAGTCATCTTTTTATTATAGTGCTATTATCATTGATGTGAACTGATTGTATGTTTAGAATAAATCAAAGGGGAAAGTGATATAGTGGAGACTGTTTAGGAAATTAGTCAAGGGGCAGAGGAAATTAGTAACTGAATTAGAAATCTTATTTATTAGTTGAGAAAAACAATGTAGAGGGGAATGAAAAAAAGACTACTGTACATACATTAGAGTCTGAATAATAGGAGTTGTGATAGTGTCATAAATTGAACAAGAGAGGGGATTAGGCAGGCAAGGAAGATAAATCCAACTTCAGACACAATGTATTTGAGAAACTGTAGAACACCCAGTTTGTAAGTTTCATCAGAAAGTTAAAAGCGCAAGGGGAAAATGTTAGAGCGATAAAGAAATGTGGGAGTCAGTTTATAGAGACTAATTTTAGTAGGATCCTCCTGTGAATCTTTTAAATTGGAAGATCTGAGTACTATCATCTGCTCACTTGAGCACAGGACAGTTTTGTAGTGTTGTGAATAGCACAATTCAACATCTTACAAAGGCATTTAAATTCTGGCAGAAACTTAGGGGTTGAAGAGAGTAAAGTATTTCTAGAGCAACTCATAAACACAACATCTATTTTTCTAAACATAATGCATGCCAGCTGTAATGTAACCTCATAATCTAAGGTTCTTCCTATGCCCAATTATAGCTGGGTAATTCCTCCTGAGTGAATGGCAAAGAAAGTGTTGTATCTTTTTTTAACAAATTCTAATTAATACTTCTTATATATCATGCTACTTGCATTCAAATTTTTGAGACACACACACACACACACAAACATATATATATTTACACATATAGTTGCTCCAGATTTCCTACTAAAACTAAGTCATCACTAAGCCAGCATACATACACACATATGCAGTATGGGTATGCATACACACACACACACACACACACACAAGTGGTCTAGGTAGCTGTATTTGTATTAGTCTATTTTCACACAGCTAATAAAGACATACCCACGATATAGTAATTTACAAAGAAGAGAGGTTTAACTGACTCACAGTTCCACATGGCTGGGGAGTCCTCACAATCATGGCTGAAGGCCAAAGAGGAGTAAAGTCACTTCTTACATGGCAGCAAGCAAGAGAGAGCTTGTGCAGGGGAACTGCTCTTTATAAAGCCATCAGATCTCATGAGACTTATTCACTACCAGGAGAACAGTATATGGGAAACTGCCCCCCAGATTCAATTATCTTCACCTGGGCCTGCCCTTGGCACATGGGAATTATTACAATTCAAGGTGAGATTTAGGTGGGTACACAGCCAAACCATATCATTCTACACCTGGCCCCTCCCAAATCACATGTCCTCATATTTCAAAACCAACCATGCCTTCCCAACAGTCCCCCAAAGTCTTAACTCATTTCAGCATTAACTCAAAAGTCCACAGTCCAAAATCTCACCTGACACAAGGCAAATCCCTTCTGCCTATGAGACTGTAAAATCAAAACAAGTTAGTTATTTCCTAAATACAATAGGGGTACAGGCATTGGGTAAATACTCCCATTCCAAATAGGAGAAATTCTTCAGAACAAAAGGGCTGTAAGTCCCATGCAAGTCCAAAAGCCAAAAGGGCAGTCACTAAACCTTAAACTCCCAAATTATCTCCTTTGACTCCATGTCTTACATCCAGGTCATGCTGATGCAAAAGGTAGGTTCCCACAGCCTTGGACAGCTCAGCCCCTGTGGTTTTGCAAGGCATAGCCCCCCTTCCAGCTGCTTTCATGGGCTGACATTTTCCACCACATGCTGCAAGCTGTTGGTGAATCTACTATTCTGGGGTCTGGAGGACAGTGGCCCTCTTCTCACAGCTCCACTAGGCAGTGCCCCAATGGGTTCTCTGTGTGGAGATTCCCACCCCACATTTCCCTTCCACACTGCCCTAGCAGAAGCTCTCCATGAGTGCTCCACCCCTGCAGTACACCTCTACCTGGACATCCAGGCATTTCCATACATCCTCTGAAAGCTAGGTGGAGGTTCTCGAACCTCAATTTTTGACTTCTATGTACTGGCAGGCACAACACCATGTGGAAGCACCAAGACTTGGGGCTTGTACTCTCTGAAGTCACAGCCCAAGGTGTACCTTGGCCCCTTTTAGCCATGGCTGGAGTGGCTGGGTTGTTGGACACCAAGTCCCAAGGCTGCACATGCAGGGGTGTGCCTGGACCCAGCCCAGGAAACCATTTTTCCCTCCTAGGACTCTGGGCCTGTGATGGAAGGGGCTGCCTCAAATGTCTCTGCCATGCCCTGGAGACATTTTCTCCATTGACTCAGTGATTAACATTTGGCTCCTTGTTACTTCTGCAAATTTCTGCAACTGGCTTGAATTTCTCCCCAGAAAACAGGTTTTTCTTTTCTACTGCTTTGTCAGGTTGCACATTTTTTCAAACTTTTATGCTCTGCTTCCCCTTGAACTCTTTGCCACTTAAAAATTTCTTCAGCCAGATACCCTAAATCGTCCCTCTCAAGTTAAAAATTCCACAGATCTCTAGGGCAGGGGCAAAATGCCACCAGTCTCTTTGCTAAAGCATAGCAAAACTCACCTCTGCTCCAGTTCCCAGCAAGTTCCTCATCCCCATCTGAGACCACCTCAGCCTGGACTTTATTGTCCATATCACTATCAGAATTTTGCTCAAAGCCATTCAACAAATCTCTAAGGCATTCCAAACTTTCCCACATCTTCCTGTCTTGTGAGCCCTCCAAGTCTCTAGGAAGTTTCAAACTTCCCCACATTTTTATATCTTCTCCTGATTCCCCCAAACTGTTACAACCTCTGCCTGTTACCCAGTTCCAAAGTCGCTTCCACATTTTTGAGTACCTTTACAGTTGCACCCTACTCTACCAGTACCAATTTACTGTATTGGTCTGTTCTCATGCTGCTATAAAGACATACCCAAGACTGGGTAATTTATAAAGAAAAGAGGTTTAATTGACTCACAGTTCCACATGCCTGGGGAGGCCTCACAATCATGGCTGAAGGTGAATGAAGAACAAAGATACATCTTACATAGCAGCAGGCAAGAGAGCTTGTGCAGGGGAACTCCCATTTATAAAACTATCAGATCTCATAAGGCTTATTAACTACCATGAGAACAGCGTGGGGGAAAACACTCCCATTATTCAAGTATCTCCACCTGGTCCTGCCCTTGACACGTGGGGATTATTACAATTCAAGGTGAGATTTGGGTGGGGACACAGCCAAACCATATCAGTATTATAGACCCTCTCTCTCTATATATGATGTGTATATATAAATGTGTATATATATTTATATACATATATATGTGTGTATATATATTTATATACATGTATATGTGTGTATATATATTTATATACATATATATGTGTGTATATATATATAAAGTGTATATATACATATGATGGGTTTGTGTGTTCTGAAATTGAGACGCAGTGATATCTGAAGTGCTAAGATAGTCCACATGCATATACTCATACCAATAGGTTCCTTGTCTGAGAATTCCTTAAGAAAAACATAAACATCAGCACAGGGGAGAATAAACATTTGATGTATGTAAATGCACATGTAGATGATAGGATTAACGTCTTTAATCACCATAGAAATCAGAAAGCATGCACTCACTTACTCTCTCTCCCCACCCCCCCCCTTCTCTCTCTCTTTTCCAAGTGATGACACAAGATGGCCATCAGCAAACTAGGTAGAAAACCATCATCAGAACCTGACCATGCTGGCACCCAGATCTCAAAATTGTAGCCTCCAGACAGTGAAAAAAAAAAAATTTCTATTGTTTAAATTATACAATCTATGGCATTAAAAAATGTCAGCTAACACTTACTAAAACACCCTCTAAGAAATGGAAAAGTAATAGCAATCATTTGTTTAGATTATTCAATGATACCTAGAATGGAAGCCATTGAAGATACTGCCTGTATTGTAGTAAATTACCTGGTTTAAATGCTGGAGTTTTGCTTGTGGTCAGGATAAAGTAGTTAATCACAACCCCTGAGATGCAAATATAAATTGCTATAGAACTGAACACTGTATTTGAGAAAATAGCTACCAGGCTTTGGACAACAGGACAAGATCAAAGTCCTGTAATTCCTAGGAGAATGGAAATACACTAGATGAGTCCCATCTTGCCATGTCTTTAGCTGAGGGCACTTCCTGGATTGTAATGTAATTAGGTAACACCCAAGCAGAGAATGGCCGTTCCACTGAGCTAATGAGGCAGAGACAAGAGTTTAATGATACTGAAGCAGCTTTCACACGGTGAACCGGGGACTGGAAAGGAGAGAGATGAGGGTAAAGACATAGGCATAGGACTTCTCCACAGGTTTTTGTTGAAGACTTGGCCTGCATTTTTGTAGAATAAACTTTGCAATGTCTACTAGAGAGTGGTAGCTATAGGGATGAGAGCTAAACAGATATGTTGAAGATATTGCAGAGCTAGTATATGCTATATTTCTGGCCTTGCAGTATGTAAAATACTCTTAATGAGCAACTCATTCAGAGTTGAGGTCCTAAAAACGTCAGACATTAAGGGTAAAGGATGACATCCTAAAGTAAACATCGTAGTATAGGATGATGGAGCAGATTGATATAACAAAGAATAATACCAAGCCAGACATTCAATATCAAATATAATTAATTTAATAATATTAAGCCACAGAAAAACATAATGCCCTATAAGGGAAGGCATCATCTAGAGCCCCTACAGTCAACCACTCACAGCGTTCAACACAATTTTAAAAGATTTCCAAACACAAAAAGAACTATGATCAAGAGAAAATATCAATCTGCAGAAACAAACACAAAAATGACACAAATGTTAGACTTAAACAAAAGCATTACAGTAGCTATCATAAATGTGTCGAAGAACTTAAATGAAAAAAATAGACATGATGAGAAAGGTACATTTTTAGAAAAAAAACTAATAAAAAAGATCCAAAGGAAATGATAGAACTGAAAATCAAACTATTTAAAAGGAAATGTTCAATGAACAGACTGAGCAGAAAACTGAAGATTATAGAAAAAAAGATCAGCAGACTTGAGGACAGATCAATACAAATAATCAAATAGGAAAATAGATAGAAAAAAAAAATCGCCTTTGGGGAAATATCAAGTGATGAGCATGCATGCAGTTAAAGCCCTAGTAGAAGAGAGAAAGAGTGGAAAAGGTGAAATATTGATAAATTAATTGCCAAAACCTCCAAAAATTTGTTTTAAAAACTCAATCTACAGATCTGAGAAAAACAGTAACACCACGGCAGTAAAAACACACTCAGGCACATTTGAGTAGGACTGAACACAATAGATAAAATTTTACAAGCAGCCAGAAAAAGAATAAAGGCCTACTGCATGCAAGGAAAATAAAATAAAAGATAATTGACATTTAATCAGAAGCAATGAACGGAAGACAATAGAATGACATTCTCAAAGCAATTAAAACAATATATCAACCCAGAATTATGTGTCTAGTAGAAATATTATTCAAAGCATGTAGACAAAATAAAGACATATTGACTTGAAATCTGAAAGAATTTGTCATCGTGAAAACAACGCTATATAACATGTCAAAAGAAAGTTTTATTTGTGTAATGGAAATTATACTGGGATTGGAGGGCAATCAAATCTACAGAGAACTAAATGCTTGAGGAAGAGTATCTATGGGGATAAATATTAAAGCCAACTTTCATATATTTTTCTTACTTAATATCTTTAAAATATATGTTGCTGCTGTAAGGTAAAATGTTAACTTGTAGTTTGGAATTTATAACATCTGTAAAAATAAATTGTATGGTGAAATAGCAAAAGGATAGGGTAAAGGGAATTTTAGTTTGTAAGTTTATTATAGTTTACATAGTGTAGCATTATATTAACCTAATTAGCTTTTAATTAATGAGGAATATTCATTGAAATCACTGAATCAAACATTGGGGAAAAAGTTGTAGAAAAAAGTTGATAAAGTAAATGAACTAGAACATTTTTTAGTTTAACTCCCCCAAAAATGGCAAGAATAAGGGAACCAAGAAAAATAAAAAGCTAATAAGATAAACAGCAAATGAAGAGAAAATGAATGAGCTCAAGCTCCACCATACAAATAGTTAAATTAAATGGGAATTGACTAAATATCCAATTAAGAAATGAAGACTGGACTAAAATTCAAGATTTAAATCTGTGCTGTCTTCAAGAGGTGAATTTAAAATTTAAACATAGCTAGGGTAAAAGATAAGAGGATGGAAAAACATTAACCATGCAAACAGAAACCATAAGTGAGATGTGTGAACCATACCAAATTTGGGAAACGCAGACTTCAGGACTTGGATTTTATAGCAGATTAGAGGAAATGTTTACCATAAAGAATAGCAGCAAGATGATAAAGTGAACATAAAAAAAACTTTTAAAAATTCTGTTTGCATGCATAGTTTACTTTTGTGCTTCTTCCCCATCTCCCTCTTTCCCTTTCTTCCTCTATTTTTTTTTAACTGTATTATTATTCTTTGACCAGGAACACTTTTTATTTTTAATTTACTTATGTGTATTTTTTTAAATGAGTTTGGATATTTTTATTTTTATTTATGCTAACACATGATGTGATGTAATGTTTTTAAAATCTATTTATTTCTATGTAGGGGACACAAGTGCAGGTTTCTTACAGGCGTATATTGCACAGTCACCTTTGGATATTGCTAAGGCAAAAATATTGTCCTAAAAAAAATGATGTTTAAAATCCAGGAGAGATATGTGAAATAAGATTGGCAAAATGGTCATATTACTGAATCTGAGTGATAGGTGCATAGGGTTTAATAAATATCCCTTCTAATTTTACGTATTATCAAAATATTAAGAAAGAAAGAAGGAAAGAAAGAAGGAAAGAAAGAAAAGAAAAAGAAAAGAAAGAGAAAGAAAGAAAGAGGAAGGAAGGAAGGAGGGAGGGAGGAAGAGGGAGAACGCAAAACAAAAATAAGTGAGACTTTTTAGGCTATTTAACATAATATGCTCAATGTGACATTCTCAAGGAATAAACTGGCACACACTAAATGCTATATAAATGTTTAAATACCTGAATTAAACTGATGCTGATTCATATAACCATGTCAAATTCAGCTAATTACATTTTCTACATGCAGACAGTTAATTAAAAAACAAACCTATCAGCTCTGTTTTATGCTACTGGTAAAAAAAAAAAAAAACAATAAACAAAAGCTAGGTAGCAAGGATTAAAGGTGAGAACTGAAATTAAAACATGACAAGGAGTGACGTTTTGTTATAAAACGAAAATCTGGGATTTGGCATCAAAAGTTCTAGTAATGAAGACTGATTCTATTTTGGATGGGTTATATGACCTCTGCCAGTTTATATAAAGCCCATCAGAGACTCACTATTTCATCTTTCATATGTGGAAAGTCAACATCTGCCTACTTCATAGGATGGTTGTAAGGACTGAATGGAATGTATATAAAAAACACTCTGAACTTCTGTATGTATAAAAAAAATCATTCTTTTGTAAAATTCAAAGATGGGCACTGAGGGATATCTTTAACGCAGAACAGCAAGTCATGCTAGAATATGGTATAGAATGTAGGAGCGAAATGATTAAAGTATTAAAAATCATAACAGCAATAATCTTTATTTAATTTTTTTCTGGAAAACAAGGTTTTGTTTTGTTTTGTGTATTTGTAGCTGTAGCCACAACTTGGAAGCTTAATATCTTCCAAGGGTGGAAGGGAAAGTCCTGGAGAGTCAGGGTGTCTCTTGGCCCTCAGCAAGCAGAGTACGAAGGCTGTTCAGGGGCCGGCGAGGGTGCCGGTGCAGTAGCCATGGCAGCAGCACTAAACCTGGTACCCCTCTCAGGTGGGGTGCCTGGTGGACCATGGGTGATCTCTGTAGCATGGGCGAGGACCAGTCCCCAGGGCTGGGGCTCTGAACTCTAGGCCACGTCAGGGCCCTGGATCAGAGAACTAGGGGTGCTGAGGTAGGGTTGAGAATGGAGTAATAGATGTGGGAGTGGGTGGTCTAAGGGTGGGTGGTCCAAGATGGTGCATGGACTACAGTCTGGAGAGGACCCATCCTCACTTAGGTCGTGGGTCCAGAAGGAAGGCAGTTCTCACAGAGCACGTGGCCTTCCAAAGGGAAGCAGCTGCTGTCTTCTGCCTCAGTTGACAGGGGCTTCCCACAGTCCTCTCACTTGTAACACTTGAATTGATTTGACATCCTTATGGAAATATCCCTGAAGTTTGAATACCTGAACTTAAATCTCTGATTGACTGCTGATTATCTGTGAGCTTCTTAGTGGGACTACTCTGATTATCTTTCCTTTCTTGCCTATAACTCCCCTTTGAATATACACTAAATCCAACTTCATTTGATTTAGTGTCTATCAATCACCATAAAATTATATATATTAAAAATAAATGACCCACTTGATGACAGCCACCTTGAAATTGTCCATGGGACAGTACAGAGAAAAAGGAAATAGAAAACTATTAGATACTGAATTAATATGAATAAATTACATAGAATTAATTCATTAAAATTATTGATTAAAAATTATATGCTTAACATATTGACAGTTTTGAATAGAGGTCTTTGGTTGTCAGTCTCCAAAATGCCCCCATGTGCCTGGATTCCTGGTACCCAGGTCTTTGTGCAGTTCTCCCTGGGTAGAGAAGACTGACCTGCATGACCGACAGTATGTGGAAGAAATTGCAACTGTGACTTCTGATGCTAAGACCCAAAAGACCTTGTGGCTTCCACTTTCCTGTCTCTTGAATTGCTTGCTCTGGCAGAACCAGCTACCATATCATAAATATGCTAATGCATCCCTATGGTCTGGTCCTTTTGGCAAGAGACTGGGATCTCCTGTAAATGACCAGCACCCATTTCCGGGCATGTTCATGTATCGCCTAGAAAGTGGCTTCCCTGCTCAGAGAAGCCCACGGTTGACTGTATCCCTGGCAACCACTTGAGACCTTAAGATCAAACCACCCAGCAAACTTATTACCAGATTTTGAACCAGAGATGTCAGGTGTGTGAGATTATCAGTGCTTAATGTTTTAAGACACTAAATTATGATGTAATTTGTTATGGAACAACAGACAAGTCATACAAGACCTAAAATATGAATCATGGGCTGGACACAGTGGCTCACATCTGTAATTCCAGCAATTTGAGAGGCCAAGGTAGGCGGATCACCTGAGGTCAGGAGTTCGAGATCAGTCTGGCCAACATGGTGAAATCCTGTGCCTAATAAAAATACAAAAATTAGCCGGGCATGGTGGCAGGCGACTATAATCCCAGCTAGTCGGGAGCCTGAGGCAGGAGAGTCGCTTGAACCCAGGAGGCAGAGGTTGCAGTGAGCCAAAAGATCATGCCACGGTACTCCAGCCTGGGCGACAGAGCAAGAGTAAAAATAAAATAAAATATGATTCACAGATGTATTCTGTGGCAAACAGTATCATAGTTCAGTGCATTTGTATAAATCAAAGTTATTGATGTATAATTTATATATGAAAAAATGCACACATTTAAATGCACATTTTAGTGATTTTTTACAAATGAATCCACCTGGATGACTGTCACCATTATCAAGATACCAAATAGTTTTATAACTCAGTAAAGTTGCTTTCTACCCATTTCCGACTTCACTTTCCACAGGCTCCAGGCCAGTCTGCTTTCTCTCATTAGAGAATATGTCTAAATTTTCTAGATCTTCATATAAGTAGAATCATATGATATACTATTTTGTATCCAAATATTGTGGGTAGTTTACTCCTCTCAAAGTAATGTGTTTGAGATTCATCCATGCTGTGTGTATCAGCAGCCAATTTCCTTGTTTTCACACACAGTATTTTATTGTATGAGCATATCGCATCTTTTCTACACAACCTCTTAGTGGACATGTGTGGTTTCCAGGTTTTAGCTACTATAGGTAAATGTACAGTTTGTTGTGCAGACATATATTTTTATTTATCTTGTGTAAAATACCTGGGAGTGTAATTGATGGGTTATATGGTTAGGGTATGTTTAACTTTAAAAGAAAATGCCAAGTTATTATCCAAACATTTCATTTTGAATTCCCTCTAGCAATGTATGTGTTCCAGTTCCTCTGCATTCTCACCAATTCTTTGTATTGTCAGGTTTTTTTGTTTTGTTTTGTTTTGTTTTACTTTAAGTTCTAGGGTACATGTGCCGAACGTGTAGGTTTGTTACATAGGTATACAAGTGCCGTGATGGTTTGCTGCACCCATCAATCCATCATCTACATTAGGTATTTCCCCTAATGCTATCCTTCCCCTAGCTCCCCACCCCCTGACAGGCCCCAGTGTGTAATGTTCCCCTCGCTGTGTCCATGTGTTCTCATTGTTCAACTCCCACTGATGAGTGACAACATGCAATATTTGGTTTTCTGTTCTTGTGTTAGTTTGGTGAGAATGATGGTTTACAGCTTCATTCATGTCCCTGCAAAGGACATGAACTCATCTTTTTGTATGGCTGCATAGTATTCCATGGTGTGTATGTGCCACATTTTCTTTATCCAGTCTATCATTGATGGGCATTTGGGTTGGTTTCAAGTCTTTGCTATTGTGAATAGGGCTGCAATAAACATACTTATGCATGTGTCTTTATAGTAGAATGATTTATAATCCTTTGGGCATATACCCAGTAATGGGATTGTTGTGTCAAATGGTATTTCTGGTTCTAGATCCTTGAGGAATCACCCTATTGTCTTCCACAATGGTTGAACTAATTTACACTCCCACCAACAGTGTAAAAGTGTTCCTATTTCTCCATATCTTCTCTAGCATCTGTTGTTTCCTGATCTTTTAATGATCACCATTCTAACCAGCATGAGATGGTATCTCATCATGGTTTTGATTAGCATTTCTCTAATGACCAGTGATGATGAGCTTTTTTACATATGTTTGTTGGCTGCATAAATGTCTTCTTTTGAGAAGTGTCTGTTCATATGCTTTGCCCACTTTTTGATGGGGTTGTTTTTTTTCTTGTAAATTTTTTTTAAGTTCTTTGTAGATTCTGGACATTAGCCCTTTGTCAGATGGATAGATTGCAAAAATTTTCTCCCATTCTGTAGGTTGCCTGTTCACTCTGATAATAGTTTCTGTTGCTGTGCAGAAGCTCTGTAGTTTAATTAGATGCCATCTAGATCAATTTTGGCTTTTGTTGCCATTGCTTTTTGTGTTTTAGTCATGAAGTCTTTGCCCATGCCTATGATTTAATTTTAAAAGTTCCAGGATACATGTGCAGGATGTGCAGGTTTATTACATAGGTAAACGTGTGCCATGGTGGTTTGCTGAACCTATCAACCCGTCACTTTTTCTATTTTTTTTTTAAAGTTTCCTCATTCTAATGAGTGTGTAGTGCTATTTTATTGTGGCTTTAATTTGCATTTCCCTCATGACTATTGAAGTCAAACATCTTTTCACGTGTTTAATCTTCCTCTGTTTTGCTAATTTATAAACTCTTTTTTCAAACATTTTCCATTTTTAGAGGATTGTTTTCTTTTTCTTGCAGAATTATAAGAGTTTTGTATATATTCTGGAAACAAGTCCTTTGTAAAATATATGTGTTGTCAATAATTTCTCCCAGTCTGTGACTACCAATTTATTTGTCTAATAATGTCTTCAGATGGGGCAGAGATTTTAATGTTGATGTAGTCTAATTCATCTTTGTTATTTTATGTTTATTGCATTTCATATCGTGTCTAAAAAATCTTTGTCTACTCTCACATTGCAAAGGTATCATCCTATGATTTCTCCCAATGGTTTATAAGTTTATTTTTTATGCATGTGTGACACTAACTAATGAGTTCTATAGTTTCAAGTTTAAAAAAATAAAAGTAGCTCATGTATTACTTAGGTAGCCTTGGGAAGTTGTTTAATATTCTGAAAGTGAGATGTTTCATCTATATAACTGAGATTATAATATTGTCCATTTCTGCCTTAAGAGTTGTTAGAAAACTAAACATTATACAGACCATACAAGTTTTGGTAACTTACATAAGCTATAACACATATGATATTATGATAAGCAGTATCAATAACCAGAATATGTTATTGACTAATTAAAATATAAATACCATTTTTCCCCTGTGCTCACATCTGTGTCCACTCTCTCTCTCTCTTTCTGTTGCTATTTATATATCACAGTCTTTATTGTTTGATTCTGAATTTAACCATGTATGAGATACGATGAAGAGCTTCTGAACCACAGACATATTGTTTTATATTCCATACAGCTATAGACATTTTAGCAACCATTTCTTGAGTAACTGTATGTGTAAGAACTACAGTTGGTGATATGCCTTACTACATTATTTTAGACTCTATAAGTGAATGTAAAAAAAAATTAGTGACATTACTTCAAAATAGTGAAATAATATCTGTTTAAATGACCCTTAATGATGTTGCAATTTTTACTTACAATATCATTTTTAAAAAAAATTTTATCTGAGAAGTAAAGAGTAAGGCCAGTCTTTAGAATTTGAGCTTTGTGACATCTTTTTTTAAAAAAATTTTCCTACTCTAGGATTTATGCTAAAGCTTCATAAATCCTTCCAATATTTTAATTATTTGGGAAGCTGGAGCTGTTGCATTTGCAATCTATTTTTCAATTCTCAGGGAAAATTTTATTTATTTTGTAAAACTTATTAAACTGCATCAGATCTTAACAATGAGATAAAATTCTTCACCAAAATCTTAATATGACTTTGTGCTTCTTTTTTTTTCACTTTTTAAATATTTATTTGTGTAAATATCAGAATTACACTTTTAGATATTTATTATGGGGAAATACAAAGCTAATATTCCCCAAATCTAGTTCTCTGCTGTTCCAAATGCTGTCAGATGCTCTAGAATATCTGATGAATGCAAATTAAAGAGTATATAAATCAAATAAAAGTTGTTAATGACTTCAGATTCCAAGGGATCTTTCACCTATTCATTCATTGAAAAGAGAAAGGGAAAACTCCTGTTCAGACATGGGGATTGAGTTTCTATTGACAACACTCAATACATTAACAGAAAAATGCCAAAGCTGAGATTTTGAAAAAAGTAGTCAGTTTTGCACTCACCTCTTAATAAACTGTATCTGTGCTATCAGCTCAATACTACTGAGGGTTCCTTTGATCAGACTTCCATGGAAAGGCATTGTAAGTAACCATAAGTCTCATTTCTTGGCCAGCTCCCTAATTACTGCAACTAACTTGGCCCTCTATTTCTTCTTTTTATGTTCCACTCCATTAGGAGAGAAGATCATATTTTCTGGGCTGATGAAATTAAATTCGCCCATATTTTCCCAGTCATCATAATTTTTACAAAGAGTTCATCTAATCAATTTTTGGCACGAGAATGACAGTACTACACTAGATGGTGCCATTAAGATGAAATAGTCATGCTGTTGAATTAGAGATACTTAAATTAGGTAGACTAAAATTTAGTTTGGCTTTTATTATACTCATTCTTTTAGCCCTTAAATACATGTTTTGCAAGGCTGGTCATTTAACTCACATAAATATTTCTCTTAGTGTGGAAAAGAAATCTTATTTTCCAGGAGTCTTCAAACAGAGATGTTATATAAAAACTGAATTTATAAGCTTCATGTAGAGATTGTCAAAGGATGCAATGAACACTTTCTACCTAACCTAGCACACAAAATTCCAAATGCAATAGTCGAGCAGTAGCAATCTACCTCATTGATGCATACCTAATATTGACAGAGCCCAAGGCATGTCCAGGGTCACTTCTAGAGCTCCAACCTCCATTTATTTTTTCTAGTAAATGTGGATTAAATACTTACTGTGCATAGGCACCTACTAGATGTTGCAGGGTCTATGGAAATGCATGAGACAGAATATTTGCCTATTAAGAGTTACATCTCAGTAAAAAAGCAGGATTGTGTACAAATAAACCACTGTGCCATACGCAATTGCATAAATCCAAAGAATAATTACTAGACATAGTATTCTGGAACAGTACCAGTTCAGACCCAGCCTGTCTATAAGCGAGTCATCAATCAAAGGGGGAAGATTAAAGAGGTAAACCAGGCAAATCTGGAAAAACAATCACAATCCTAAAAACTAGGACCTGAGTTCTTTGGCTTAATTCTTTGGGTTGTATTCAGTAAAGGGCAGAACTTGCACATCACTTATCTGTAGGATACACTTTGAGTGCTAAGATGGGAGACACAAAAGATACTGTATGTAAGAGAAACCAAATACAGAAGCCAGATCAAGAAGAGAATGTAAAAAAAAAAAAAATGAGTTACCAATGCAAATGAATTAGGAAGAGAATATTTGCTTTGTCATGAGGAAATGAAAAAGAAATTAAGGAAACCAACAAACACAAGGAGATTCTGTGTAAACATTTGGATGAAGAACCCAGAGAAAACTCCTGTGTATAAACAGAAAATTGTAGAGTATTTTGAAAAGTTGACTACTGCTTCACCATTGATTATGCAGAGATACTGATTACACAGTATACAGAGATACTGATTATACAGATACAGATTACACAGAGATACTATACTATAATAATTCGTGAAGCAGTAGTCACCTACTAAAAGCCAAGATTCATATCACATTTTGTGAAACTGTTGGAGACAAGTGAGAAAAAAATATTTCATAATAGATATGGAAAAAGTGTCTGAACCAAGGACCCTGTCAGGATAATGAGGCTGCTTATTGATTTTTGGTTTCTCATAAGACTTCCTGTGGCTCAGCTAGATTAGGTAATAATTGTATTACTAAGTTTTATCCATTTACTGAATATAGAAATGTTAGAAAACCTACCTTCTGCACAACACTAACTAGATTTGAGGATAAAGGCATTAAAAAAACATAGACATGCTACCCGCAGGGCTTATGGTGTAGAAGATGAAACAGACTTGCCAAACCATGACACAAAGTTACTCGGTTAGAATTGGGATGCTCATTGTGAAGTAGAAGTGTGAAGCATCGTGCAAGCTTATAAAGTGAGGAGGAACCAGAAGGATTTAGAAAGACCAGCAAGAATTGTTTGAGGATGTGATTTGAAGCTGAAGTCTCAGTTCTTGGAAGGACCTGAGAAATCAAATGCCCTGTGGCTATAAGGATAATAGACATATTGATCAACGAATAAGGAGGGCACTAGGTTCTGTGGGGAAGTGGTCAGAAATGGAGTTGAGAATTAGGTAGGATTCAGATCACTAGGGCTTTATATGTAAAACCAAACATTTGGTATTTATTCCAAGTTTTAGGGGAAGCTAACTGAGGTTTTTAAATTGGGTATTTACATGATGCAATTTATGTTTTGCTATTATCATACGGTCAACATGTACATAATGAACTAAAAAGGCTCAGGAGAGTTTGGTGATAGATCACACAGGAGGTTCATACAACACAGAAGAGAGATAATGGGAGCTTGGGTTTGAGTGTTAGGGGTGAATACAGGGAGAAATAAATGGGTTAAAAAATAAAGCAGGAGTTAAACTGATTAGAACTGAAGCCTGAGGGAGGGAGGACAAGTTATCAAGAGGCATGTCCTAGTTTCTGGCTTGTATGACTAAAGGATATTGGTATATCTTAATTGTAGCCAATTTGCAAAATATGGAAGATTATAAATAACAAGACAAAAATTAACCTCGATTCTGCTAGACTACCACTGTAAACATTTTTCTATCCATAAATATGTATTTTTTTATCAAATTGAAAGCTTACTATAATTTTATATTTTGGTTATTGACATACTGTGAAGCTTCTGAATATCATAAAGAATACCACAAAATCATGATTTTAATGGCTTATGCTAGCTTATGAAAGTATCATGATTTACAACAAAATAGTCACTTTTTATTAGGCATTCTGAGTATTTCCAAATTTTTTATACTTATAAATTTTAATATTACTGTAAACATTCTTGTGTACCTACTTTGTAAACACCTCTGAATGTTTTATTTTTATTAAATCAGGAGACAAATTATTAGGCTAAGGACATTTACTTTATTATAGTTCTTTTTATGTTGCAAAGTTGTTCTCAGGAAGTTGTGTTCCAAGTTGCAAGTCCACCAGCAAAGTACAAGAGCATGCATTACAATGAGGTCACCAACACAGGCTTTTAATATATGTATATATTTTTTGTCAACTCATAAGCAGGTAGTATATCCACAGGTCAGGGGTCACGCTTCAGGGAGAGAGACTCTCAAGCCCACCTTGGCTCAGGTATTTGCCCCTGTACCTGTTGTCCATGGGCAGGGTGCATAGCCAGGCCTGTGATACTCACTCCTGTAGGTGGAAAAAGCTTTCTAAGAGGAGGAAAAAAATGTGTGAACTGGACAGAAAATCCTTTTAAAAATGTTTAAAATGGTTAATGTTAGTAAAAAACTACAAAATCCCAATATTCCTTTCTATATACTCCATAGTGGAGAAAAAATAAATACAAATTATTGGAAAATGCTTTTTTCTCTTGTTATTACAAACTATGTGGGACAAGCAATATAAAAATTCCAAATACGACATTTTTTGCTAAATCACTCTTTAAAAATAAAGTCTGCTAAGACAAAAGAATTCTGTATATAACAGACTATTTTAAAAATTTGTTCCCTATAATCATTATGGTTAAAAAATATTCTATTTGATGGCGACTCCCACTTTATTGAATTTACAAGTAAAAGAACCACTGATTTTTTGGGTACCAAAATCTAAGTTAGTTTTGTTAATTAAGAAGTCAACAGCTAGTTTATATATGCTCGAATGAATGAGGTTATTCAGAGAATGGAGGATTTAGGATATTAAAAATATAGATTGAGGAGGTCAAAATATTATTCAAGGTGGTCTTAAAAATTATTTTCTCGTGTCCTTAGAATCTGCTTCCCCATTAGTTATTTCTTGCCTTTTCTCAAATCTGTTAAATACCCATGAAGAGCCCTGCCTAGACTCTGGATGAATCCTAAAAATAGACTCATCTGCCTGTTTTCATCTCCAGAGCTGCAGTAAAAAATTACCACAAAGTTGATGGCTTAAGACAACACAAATTTATTATCTTATGTTCTTGAAGGTCACATATCCAAAATGAATTGTATAGGGCTACAATCAGCATGTTGGCAAGACTGTGTTCTTTCTGGAAACTCCAGGGGAAAATTACATTTTATTTTATTTTATTTTATTTTATTTTTTGCCTTTTCCAGCTTCTAGAGATTTTCCACATTCCTTGGCTCCTGGATACACCTCTACAATCTCAGCTTCCATTGCCACACTGCCCTTCTGACACCGACCTTCCTGCCTCTCTCTGTATGGACCTTTGTGATTATATTGGACATAATCTATGGTGATCCAAGATAATCTCCTCATCTCAAAATCTTTAACTTAATCACACCTGCAAAGTCCCTTTTGTACTATAAGGTAATACATTTGCAGGTTCTAGTGTTTAAGATGTAGACATCTTTGAGAGGGGATATTTTTCTACCTTTCTCACTGCCAATGCACTGAGCAGCCAGTCCCTCAAAGCAGGGCACAGATCCCCCAGACATGGGCGTCCTCATCCAGGCCCATGCTGCTCCAGCTCCCGGACACCATGCTGCTGCTGTGGTCATCTTGATCTTGACCACTTGTTTCTCCCACTTTCGTGACTTTGTGATAATTATTTAATTTTTCCACTTCGGTCATTGGCTTATCTCTCCAAAGTGGCTGTTGCATTTCTTCTCAGAGTAAATCTGCAGCCTGTACCTGCCCCAGCTAATCTGTTTTGAACTCCCTGATCCAACCCAGGCATTCACCTGTGTAAATGAGATAAACACCAGGGCTCATCTTGTTCCCTATGAGGGTAAGTGGGGGCTCACATAGATTGCACCCAGGGTACTCATGGGCCCAGAAAAACTTGTTGACCCATAAGTTCCACCACTGGATGTTTTTCTGCCTTGGCTCCATATTATTTTGCTCCAATTTTCCCTTTTGGATATCATTATCTGGAGTCTTGAAACCAACCTGTCCTTTCCTATCTGCAGTTACTGGCCTGGAGTCTGCTTAAACTGGAAAACAAAAAAACTAACTAAAAAGCATAAATTTAGCAGCAACTTCATTTAGAGTACATAGAAGTATATATTGGAAATCTCTACTTTTATTTCCCACTCAAAATATCAAATACTTGAGATAGTTACTCTTGCTTTTAACTCAGCTGTGGTCTAGTATATCTCTGTCTTTGGGCATTTTGAAACCCTCTCAGATTTTCTAAACTACTTTAATATATCAAATTATGCAAATACTCATAACAACCCTCTGGGTATTAAGGCAAATGTTATTTATTACACTTAAAGTTAAGAAAATTGATTCAGAAAAATTAAGTGACCAGCCAAAAGTAGCACTGCTAATAAGTACAGTAGGAAATTGGTTAAGAATTTCCATGTATTCTCTAATGTAAATCAAGTATTTACTTGTTTAAAACCTTCTGCCTAAATTCTTATGTACATACATGTATAATTAGCAATGTAGTTATGTGTGGTAGTGGGGTTCAATCAGAGTTAATCTACATCCAAATCTAGAGACACTTCATATAAGAACACATGATGTTTGTTTTAGTTGCTATTATATCTGTAAGAATAGTATACACATTTTTTCTATTGTTCAGTTTGCATTGAATGCACATTTTTATAAAGTACTGTGAAAATGAAATAGTGCAAACATCCAACCTAAAGCGAAGAATATTTCAAAGCAATACCTATTTCTGATCAATGCTGATACACTCCATCTTAATTTTTCTCCAGTATACTTTGAGAATCTCCTCTCCTGTCAGCTGTTTCTGTAGCTATTCTAGAGATTCACATCTATGTGTTAATGCTATCGACCTGGTGTTCTGATTCCCAGAATCTGATGCTAACATAGAAATATGAGAAGCCAAACCCCCCTGCTTCCCGGTACTCATTCTGCCCATGCAGATGAATATCAGGAAATGGCTCGATCACATTTTATGTCTCCAGCCAATTACAATTACCACAAGTAGGCCTGCCCAAGTGACAATTTACAGTTTACATGGGGCTGGCGTTGACAACAATGTCGATATTGACCAGAAACATCAAAGCTGTATTTCAATTCTGGGCTATCTGAATGCAGTGTTAATGTTTGTTCACCCTCCAGTCTGCAACCATTGGCAAGTTTCTAAAATTTATTTTTCTGTTATCTCAGCAGTCATCGTGTCTCTTCAGCTTTTAGATTGAAGATGGGCTAGTTTGTTATCATGTTTCTTTCTAATGTAATTGGATAGTCATTTTATGTCAGGATCAGTGTGGTATATTTGCAAGAACGTTGGCCTTGGAATGAGAAAAAAAGTTTGGGGTCTGTCCTCACCACTAACTAGAAGCCTGCTCTTCCACTAATCACTGCCTCCCTGAGCCTTAGATTTTTAATGTGTCAGATAAAGAAAATGATGACTATCCTCCCTATTTTAATAATGATATCATAAAATTCAAAAAGATCTATGTATCATTCATTTATAACCCATAAGTTCTTGCATATGTAGAAGACTGGGAAAGAACAGCTAATTAGGAAAAATGAAACTTGGCTTCTAGAATATTCTTTGTAACTCTTTGGGGTATGCCCTCGACAAAGTCCCTTGGGCTTTCTCTCCTTATCAATAAAAAAGGAAGGAAACATTTAATAGTCCCCAGATTGGCTTTCAGCTCCAATAATCTAGTTTCCTAAGTATACATGTTATTTTTGTTAAATGTAAGTTCTGCATTATGTATTAATACTTTTGCTGTTCTCTTCTAAATGACTATTTTCCAATTATTTCACACCTCCAATGCACATATTTTTTATCTATTTTCCTCCAGCATGTTTTTTCATCAGACATCACATTTTATCAGCATCTGTTTTTTGCAAAATCTATTCAATCCTCTTCTATCATTTTTTCTTTCTTTATATTCATAACCCTTCCAAACTAAGTAACATTGAAACATTTAATTTAGTAGGCACCTACTTTATTCTTGGTAAGAAGCTACATGAAAAGAGGTACAGTACATGAGATTTCGAAGCGAGAGTAAATAGCATATTAATGTAATTCACAAATTATACTGAGCTGTAAGATATAACAAGCAACAGAGTGAATAAAGACATAATACAAATGGATTTTGAGGGGTTAGAGACTCACAGATAAGAGCAACATTGGATTTAGTCAAAAACAAATTCACTAAGGGACAAATGTTATAAAAAAAACTTACTATAGGGGAAGATAGGGTGAAAGTGTGGTGTAGGGAAAAGTGTCGTTATTTACATTAGTAGCCTGTAAATATATGAAAAAATTATGTAGGTATGAAAGAAAAATTGGAGCATATCACTGTGTTTCTCTCACTGCATTCATTTACTAGGACATTGAGCAAACGGCCGTCAAATGCTCATCCTCTGCCTAGCACTACCACTACTCTAAGTACTGGAAGTAAGAGCTAAGTAGGACACAACCCTTCTTTTCCTAGAAAGCTCACAGTCTCCAGGGGCTGGTGGACAGGCACACAATTATTGTACTGGGTGATAAAGGCAAAAACAGAGGCATTTATAACATGTATTAGAAACATGGGTAAATAAGTGAATTATTGGTTTTCACATGATCCTGGAAACTTGAGTTGAAACTTGCCAGTCGGACAAATTGCTCGGGAAGAAAGAAAGCATTCCAGATGGAGCAAAAAACAGAAACCATCCCAACCCTCTTCCTTTCTTAGCCCCATCCCACTACAGACTTTCACCTTTTTAAATCGGATCTAATCATTGACCTCCACTCAAAGGCAGTTTCTGAATTAGCAGTGTTTATCTTTCCTCCATGATGGATAAATCTTGTTTGGAGACCCTCCCCCTTTCTACTTGTCTGGAAAACTCTTTTTTTTTAATTTAAGGTATGCTGCCAACAATTTTCATAGAGGTCTATCTGTCTCCACCATCACACACACCTGAATCAGGCTGGGCAGGTTTTCTACTTTCTTCTCCCAAAATATTTACATTTCTTATGCCCTAGGGTAAATCACTAACTCATTACTTCCGTTCCCGCATTTTCTACTAGTTGGTGATATTTTGAAGTACAGAAGCTGGAATTGATTGCAAGGCATCTTGAGGTGTGTAGCCTCAGACATAATCTGTAGTAGGAGCTCAATCAATGTTTGTGAAATAAGTGAGAGAAGAATTGGCACATTCAGTCTAGGAAAAACTAAAGAGAAACTGGAGGGATGCTGAGGCAGGAATGTGGTTTAGTGCCTACACCTTGGGCAGAGCATGTGTGTATGAGGGTACCTGTGAATCAGGTAAAACGGTAACCTAGTTCTGCCATTCTATTTTTTTTTTTAAAGGTGGAATCTCTCCCTGTCACCCAGGCTGGAGTGCGGTGGTGCGATCTCCGCTCACTGCAACCCCTGCCTCCCAGGTTCAAGCGATTCTCCTGCCTCAGTCTCCTGAGTAGTTGGGATTACAGGTGCAAGCCACCACACCTGGCCTCTGCTATTCAGTAATTATATAGTTTTAGGCAATTTGCTTTATTTCACTGATCAACAATAACATGGAGATAGCCCCTCAGAGTTTAGTTATGGACTAAATGGGATACTGTATTTTAAAATGGCACAATACCTGGTGTGTTACAGGTGGTCTGTAAATTTAATTTCCTTACCTCTTTTAGTCTTGAACCTAAGTTGGCCAGGCTTCTAAGGCGCCGTTTTTAAGTGACTGAGCAGATGCTTGATTGCAGCAGCCATGTGGAGGCAGTCTTAGAGTTACCAAAAAAGCAAGACAGGATAGTGAGGTAGGATGCTGTGAGCAGTGTTACATTTCAAGGACTGACAGATACTCAGCTATAGTAGGATATGAAAGCTACTATTTGGGAAATTAAATGAGTTAGTATCATTTGAATTTCCTGGGATAACATCATCTTTTGTTCTGTCAGCATTTCTTTTTGAAAATGCCACTATGTCTTAACTCTTGTAAGTAGAACTGGAAGAAGGGTCATCTATATCCATTGATGGACAGAGGTAATTATTTTATTAGGCTGAACTCATGGATGAAGGCATCCGAATCCGAGGGCTCCCAAAAGAAAGAAGTTTTTTGTTGTTGTTGTTGTTGTTTTTAGGTGGGGCCATTAAAATCCAGTTCATTTGCTTAGTTTTCTCCAATGATAAGAAGAGTCACTTTCCAGAGCATAATATATGGAGTTGAAATTGGAATCTTTTTTCATTTAATTATCAGTAGAACAAGAAAACAGCACCTAATTGTTCCTGATGTATCATCAAGTAAATTAAATTTTGAAATTAAAAAAAGAAAAAGTGCATTTTGTAGAGCTATTCCAATGGCTTCAGTATCCCCACTTAGAAAGTACGTGATTAAAAGAATAAAAATAATATATGCTATGGCTTCCTTTATTTTATTATGACTGTTTTATTAGAAAAGGCATTAGCTATTCATCTATGAGTGATAGATGCTTAATAAACTGAATTAGGGTTATTATTAAGGCTTCATTAAGTCAAGCAATTTCAATCATTCATTTATGCTCTCTTTAAACTTGCCTTGCCAATGGCACTAAAGGAATGTTTATATCTGAAAACTCATCTGGCTTTTGAGACCCAGCTCAGGCCCCACTTCTTCCAAGAAGTCTTCCTTTTCTACTTTAACCTCTCCAGACTGGGTCAGTACCTCTACTATTTCTTCTTACCCTCCATTTGTCTAAGGGGTTTAACATACTCTAGAAAGATATTCCAAGTACTGTTTCATGAGAAATTTGTAATAATATTAGTGGGTTTCTGCTTCCACCTAAGAAAGAGTAAAATAGTCTGGATTTTCACTCTTGTCAAGCACAAATAGAAAATAGGACAAAATACAAGAAACCACCTTTTGTGTGTGTGTGACATTAGACAGCAAGCAACACAAGACTGTCTTGTCTGGGAAAGCAAAACAAGAATGGAGGGCCCAAACAGCACCCCTGCTTTCTGGACCCAGAGGTAATCTACAAATTCCAGCACAGAAGGAAAACCCAAACAGACTCCACCCACCTTGCTGAGTTGAAGTCAAAGATGGAAGTTTGAGGAGACCAGGACAGCTAAAACCTGTTGATTCTGCAAATAACTCTGAAGTCTTTGTCTAAACACTAATCTGTCCCTGCACAGAAAGAAAACAAACCCATAAAGATGAACGAGAACAAATTCCAAAGAAAAAAACAATTGCCGAAGAGCAATAATTTAGTACTTGATTACACAATTCACATGGAATACAGTGAGCTCTAAGATGCACAAAACCCAAGGTTCACACAAGACTGGAAATGATTTGAATTTCTCTCACCTAGAGAAGAGACACCCTGTTGAATCCATAGGACTTTCAGTAGCGAGCCAACATAACCTCCTTAGTGGGGCTCATAAAGCTCTAGAATAAAGGCTAATTTTGATTTTCCCTAAAACAGCTCAAAAGCAAAACTCAAAAGGATTTAACTAATACACAAGTAACTTGACCTCCTGCCAGTAAAAGTTCAAGAATTTTTAAATAATGCAATAAAATGCTTCACAACGTAAAATGTACAATGCCCTACATCCAATTAAAAGTTACTAGGTAGTAAAAGAATGAAGAAAAGGTGACCCAGAAAGCAGAGATGATGAGGTTTATGGAAAATACTACTATAAATATGCTCTATATGCTCAAGTGTATAATAGAAAACATAAATATAATTAAAACATGAAAAATATTTTAATAAATACCAACATTTAATTTCTAAAAATGAGGAAACAGTATTTTTTAGCAGCAGTGACTACTACTATCATTTATTATTTGCCTTTTTTCACTGTTTCATCCAGAGGTATGTTAAGAAACTGGGCTCTGGAATCAGAGGTCTGAATCTGAGTCCTGAATTCACCATTCAGTGACCATGTGACCTTTAGCAATAAACTTGGTATCTCTGTTTTCAAATGTCTTATATGCAAATTTGAGATAAAGTAATAATGATTAAGTAGATTGGTTATAAACTTTAAATAAGAAAACACATGTAAAATACTTTGAAGAGTGATTTCAAGATTAAGTACTCACTTGATGCTAGAAAATTGAATTACAGGGGTGGAAGTGAGGGTTACAGAGTACAGTATCCTTTTCAGGGAAACAGATCTAAGAAGAGACAGAATTCAGATTTGCACATTTATTCCTGGCTTCAAATCCCAGGCTCCCACAGAGGATACATGTGTCTTCATGCTGTGCTTCTGTCTGTTTCTGGTCTTGGCTTGTTGAATTGGGTGTTGACTTTTGTATTGCCAGATTCTCTCAAGATATTTTTTTTTCCTTTTCAGTTTCTTCACTTTGACAGTTTAATTTCAAACATTTGATGAACGAGTCTATGCACATTTTACCTTAGGTTTGCTTTCTTTGGATACAGGATTTCCATCTTAGAGGAAATGTAGGAAGCCATGTCTTCTGTGACCCAGGCTTCTGCCCAGAGCAACTCAGACCTCAGGAACTCAGACTAGGAGAAGTTGTCAGAAGAAGCAATTACCTTTCACAATAGTCTCAGCTGTCAGGATACCTAGATTACTATGGTACAACTTTGGACTTAATTATATAATTTAGGTGGAAAAAGACAAGCATTAGGCATCCTGAGGGATGCTTCCTTTTAAGCTTTACTTCAAAGATGAGGAGAACATGCTGGCTTGTGGTTGTGTTGCCCTGTGGAGAGGGTGGGACAACTAACTAGGCTCCATAACTCAGCTTCACCCTTGGTGAAACAGTCACCGAATGGACTTTCCTTTCTCTGCCCTAAGAAAACAACAGCTGAAACTGGAGAGTTCTCTGACCCCCCTCGCAGGACATGTGATGGGGTGTGACTCATCTGTTTGGCCACCATAGACACTCAAACCCTTTAAAAGAAGGGGAGCATGTAGACGGGCAGGTGCAGGAGGCAGGGTGAGCATCCCTGGGCTCTAGCCCCATGGCAGCGTCCAGGTGTGAGAGCTTGTGACTCCTGAAGCCCAAGTGGGTGCTTGTTACAGTATGCTCTTTTAGCCTTGCCATCCACGGACTGCTTAAGTGTTAGCCAGCTCAGTGCCCTTTTGGTACCCAGGTCCTTGTCTGGCATCCAGGAAGAATCACATTGCACACAGACTTGAAGGATGAATGTGGGATTTCATTGAGTGGTGGAGGGATGGGAAGCTGGATCCATCCATCTCAGCAGGATGGATGGGAAGCTGGAAGGGGGATAGAGTGGGAAGATTATATTCTCCTGGAGTTTGCCAATTCTAGTTGCCAACCTCCTCTCTGACCATCCCCAGATGAACTGCTCTGGGCATAGAGATGCTCCTCTGTTCTCTCTGCCACACCATTCTGCCATTCTTCTGCCCTTCTGTTAGTCCTCTCATCTCCTTGTGAAGCCTGGGTCTTGGGGTTTACATGAGTACAGGATAGGGGGATGTGGTGGGCCAGAAGCAACATTTGGGTGCAAAAACAGGAATGCCTGTTTCCATTTATGGTCGTGGGGTTCCAGGCTTGTGGTGGGGCCTTTGCTGGGAACTGCCCTCTTCTACCCAGTATTTCCCTTTCTCCTGTCCTTATTACAGCTGCTCAAGCTGTGAGATGAGGTGACCCCAGCACCACTGAGAGCCACAGCAGGTGAGAATACTAAGCATGGCAAGTCCTCTGAATCAATCTTGGGGTTACTCCTCCTGGGTTCTAGAGGGCCATGTCTTCCTATCACTGTTCAGATAGTTTACCTATACCTATCTCTGGTCCAGACACCAGGGAGCTTGTAAATGAGCTTTGGGTTAGAAGAGTTAAAGAAATTATGTAAGGATAAGGAACTTTCCTTATTTGGGAAAACTAATACTTTTAACAGTCTTTTTAACTTTTTGGTAAACATATACATGTAAATTACTTTTTGCATCCTGAAAATACTAATTCAATTACATCCTTGGATTTTCTGAAATCTTTCCTTGAACTAATAAAAACTGGTAGAACCTAGCTTTCTTTATAGAAATGCCCTTAAATTGTATCAGGACAACTATACTATTTTCCTTGACCCCTTAACGTTACAACTTTGTGAAATAAGCTTGCCTTTCTTCATATGGATGGTGGTTTGCCTTGTCCTCATTTCCTCCACGGCCGTTACCTGTCCAAGGAAATGAACAAATGTTTTCTAATGAGCAGATTCTACTAAATGTAGTGAAACTCAGATTATTTTCTTAAATTTATAATCCAAAACCAAAGAGATTTTGCCGCATTCCAGTATACGTCACACCTCTGCTTCAAACTCTCCGATGAGCTCCTGTTGAGTTAGAACATGTTCAGCAGCTCTGGCTGTGACCTATAAGCTCAGCCTAATTCAGTTTCTATTTCTTACCCTCCACCCCCAATTTGCACCATTTTTTCCTGCTCATCTGCACTGTAGCTTTTTTATGCCCTTTTTCAGTCCTTCAAAAATTCTATTTTCTTTCTTGCTTCAAAGTATTTACATTTCTCCCTGAAATCTCTCATGTTATGCTTTTTATATAACAAACATCTTTTCATCTTGCAGGTATCAGGTTCAACTTTAGAGGCGCTTCCCTTGAAGGTACTGTGCAGACAGACAGCAATCCCCCTCCCCATTCGCCAGACACCCTTCACCTGAAATCAAGACATGTGCTTCATTGCACTTATTATAATTTATACTTGTTTTATGTATGTGTCTTTTTTTGTTAATATCATGTTTTTCATACTAAATGAGGGTTCTATGGTAAGAAGAAACATGCCAATTGCTTTTACCAAAGTCCAGATACATTCTGGCCCAGAGAAGAATCTCAGCAATATTTGCTGCAAAGCACGTTGAAAACAAAGCCCCAGAGGAGGACACAGGCTTTGGAGGCCACCAGAATGTGACTCTAATCCCACTCTTTTACTGATAAGCTGAATGACTTCCTTTTCCTCATCAGTAAAATGGAGATATTTTATAACTTATAGGGTTACAGTAGACATTCAATGAAAGGTATCTCTTACTAATTTTATTTCTCCCAGTTTTCTCAGCAATGGCACTAATTAGAATCTGACTCATTTTTTTTACAGTGAACTTGGGTAAAAATGTTGAAATGTGATAAATTAAATTAAAATGATTGCAATATAAAAATATAATTTGTTAATTTGTGTGGCTTCACATACAATAGAAATATCATGTCACAGAAAGTGGTATGGTCTTAGGTAAATCCAAATAAAATGACTCCTAGTCTCAGTCCATCTAGAGCAATTAGAGAAAGAAATTGGCCAAGGAATTGTTTTGATGCTCCGATTAGATATGGTTATTTGATTGCCTTCCAAATTGAGAAGCATTAATCAGAAGCAACATGACATTGTTTTTAAATATAATAAGGGTGCAGTGGTTTCCAGGCACGTGACCTCCCTTTCAAATGTATATATTAACATCCTCATGCCCACGTGATGATATTAGGACATGGCGTCTTTGGGAGATGATAAGGACACTGCTCTCATGAATAGAAACATAAAAGAAGCCAGAGAGAGACCCTTCGTCGCTTCCATCATGTGAGGTTACAGAGAGAACACAGCTATCCGTGAGGAGCCATGCCTTCACCAGATGTGGCACCTGCTGGTGCCATAACCTTGGATGTTTCTTAGCCTCTTGAACTGTGAGAAATAAATGTTTGTTGTCTATAAGTCACTCAGTTTATGGTCAAACAAAGTAGGACAAAAGGCAAAAAATGAGTGTAATTTCTCAAAACCCACATCCCCTGGGAGAAGCAATACACCTCAAACCATTCTTTATTTTTTTCAGTGAATTCAAATAATCATCAGAAAAGCTAAAAATAAGATCCATGTTTCTTTCAATATCTAACTTCAACAGCGTCAGGTACATCTTAACTGCAAGATTCTGTGTTTCGTGGGAGAAATCTCTACACTTTGGAAAATGACTTTATTGGATTTATTGCCTGAATAGCTCATCTAGACAGTGCATGATAAAAGCCCAATGCTGGAATGGATAAGATTATGGTTCAAATTAATGGACCAAGAAGGAAGTAGGAAGGTTGCTTATTAAGGGCTTTCCTGTGAAGGATCTAGAGATCTAAACTGAATGCAGTGACACTAATAAGCGACTAATGTCAGCCTACAATTCTTCAGCTTTGTTAATGATTTTCCTCTTAAAAACCATAGTCCCTCCACACCTTGAACCCAAACATCTTCCCATAGAAAAATCATTTTTAACATGCAGATTTCATAGTAGAGTTAGATTTAGGACAAAGAAAAAGAATGGAGAACAAAAATAATCACCATCATTTTTATGTACACCCCATGGGCTTCATAGAAATGAGGATTTTGTTTCAGTAAGTTCATCAAAACTCAAAAATAAAAAGGATTCTTGTGATTGTAACCACATAGAAGAACCTGGAAGATATGATGCTAAGTGAAATAAGCCTGGCTTAGAAGACAGATGCTACCCAATCTCACATATATGTGGAATCTAAAAATATCAAACTCATAGAAGCAGAAAATAGAATGGTGATTGCCAGTACCTGAGATATGGGGAAAATGGAGATGTTTGTTATAAAGTACAAACTGTCAGTTATAAGTAAACTAAGTTCTAGGGGTCTAATGAATAGCATAGTAACTATAGATAATAATACTGTATTGTTTACCTGAAACACACACACACACACACACACAGTAATTTGTGTTAATTTAACACAGTGTTAATTTGATTTTGGTAATCATTTAACAATGTATACATATATTAAATATGTTAATATTTTATACATATATTAGATAATCATGTTGTACATCTTGAATAGATGCATTTTTAAATTTGTCACTTATACCTCAATAAAACTGGAAAAAAAGACCTAAAAACAGAATCAGAGCATTGGACAACATGGCACCATGGGAGAGTTTCATTTTTTTGCTGGGAATATTGAAAATCTTCCTGTACATTTCAAGGTTCTCACTTTTATCTTCCTATGCAGAATAGCTTTATGGATAGGCTTTTCAGACAAAATGCAGATATCCAACTAAATTTGAATTTAGCTAAAGAATGGATTTTCAGTATGAATGTGGCACAGACAATGCAAAGAATATACTTACAATATGCTATTACTGGCGATTTACCTGAAATTAAACGTGAGGTTGGCAACCTATAGTTTTATTTGCTGAATGTGGTATTCCCTATGCATGGATGGCGTACTGAGAATTAATATCTCATTCTCTGCTGGTAGTTTTCAAGTGGGAAATGTTGCTTGAGGTGAAAAGTGAGTGACTTTTAGAATTAGAAGACTCAAAACAGAGCAAACTGCACAAATATATTTTGAAAGAATCAGATTTGTAGATCCTAGGAAGGTTTTTTAATAAGAGCTATCTGCTTAACAATATTGAAACCTAAAATCCCACCAGAAAAGATAAATTTATTTGAACTGTGTGTTATAATATCTTACCTTTAAAAAGAAAGATGTTTTAATTTGTTCAATCTATTATTCAAAGAAAAAGCAATTGTGTCAGGAACTATAAGGGCACATCCAGATCCAAGATTCTGCCCCCTCTTACTTCTTGTTCCTTTATGTAACTTAGGATCTTCCACAAAGATTTTCTAGAAATCAATTCTTATTTTTTTAACTTCAAAATATTTTGCACTTTTCAATCTATGAATTATAGTCTATTAGTAGATTCTGAAATCAATGTAATGGTTTAGGAAAGGTACTTCTCTCTTTTAATGAAACAAAATATCAGGTATAGAAGGATTAAAGTATTTTCTGAAAACCTATTACCAATCATAAATAATATAGATACATATAAATAGCATTGTATGGTATCTTTGGGCTGTGGCTAAAATAAGAGGAAGAGACTCCCTTGAAAGAAATGGAATAGAATTGTGACATTTCATTCCTCAGGCCAAATTCAACCTACTGCCTATCTTTACATATCAGTTTATAGTGGAACATAGTCACTTTCATTCATTTACATATTATGTGCGGCAGCTTTAGTGAAGAGCTGAGTATTTTTGACCCAAGACTGTATGGCCTCCAAAGCCTAAATATTTACTATTTGACTCCTTGCAAAAATGTTTACTGATCCCTGGTTCAGAATACAAGGTCATAGTGACAGGTGGTCCTGAGTACCCAGTGGTGAGAATAGAAACACTGATTATCTGGCCATTATTAAAGAAAAGAATGAGACATAGAATGTAGATTGGACAATAATCCCACAATGCCAGCATGTGTCATGGTTTAGAATTAGTAACTCTGAATACTTAGAACAAGTATTCCATCATAGAAAATATTATTATCATAGGCTCCAAAGCTGTGGTTAGGAACATGGATGAGAATCAGACAGATGGGACTGGCTTTCTGAATATTTGACTTACTCGGTATATATATTCAAAAGATTAGTTAATAGTTGTGAACAACAATTTCTTCTTCACTAAATTGAAGATAATAAGGTAGGACATAGAAAATAAAGAAATAATGCATGCTGAGGCTTCGCTTATTGATGGCTCAAAGTAAGTGTTGAATGCATGATAAAAATTAAATATGGGAGCTTATTGAACTAGCTGAACTCCTTTGGTTCATTAATTAATTTGATAATTATATGTTGGATACTATCTCCGGCATACAATTCTTTTGCTTGGCATACCTGTTGCTTTATGCTCTTCTTGCCATCTACAGATCTCTTCTCTCCTTTGGACCTTGTCTCTCCCATCCCAGTTGGATTTACACACAGGTTTCCTTTGCGTGCGCTCAGCTACAACTTGTGTTGCATTTTCACATTTGTCTCTTCTACAAATTTATTCAAGGCATCAGTCTTTAAGATACAATAGTTCCTAAAAACTAGGACAAATGTAATGCACTCCTGGATGGTAAGTTAATATTTTGAAGTCTAATATCTTCTCTCTTCAATGGTAATTAATTTTAAGATAAATATATTTCACATCTCAAGAGTAAGTTTCATATTCCAGAGGCATCTTCAATTTTGTACTCTCAGATCACTGAAAATGACAAAAGACATTAAATGTGTTTTAAAGTAACTAGAGAAAAGATATGGTTGGCCTCTTTTACTGTTTCCTGCCAAGTTGTGGGTCATACATAGGCCAAGAGTAAATGGAGGTGAGGATGCCTACACCAGATGGTTTCTGTTCCTTCCAAAGGAGAGTTGGAAGGGAAGATGTAGGACATCTCTATGCACTGTCATTTGTGGAGGCATTTTACAGTACACACTTTGTTCCTCTGATACTCATCTCACAACAATCAAGTAAGGTAAAGAAAAATAATGTTTTCCCTTGTAAATAAGATTTAGGTCAAATTTTTTGTTTTCTTGTTTTTTTTACCTGGGTACAGCTACTAGTAACCCTGGGACCAGGTAGCAGTTAGGGAGGGCATGGGTCATTCTGTAGATATGTTAGCTGAAGATTTTAATTCGGTCCTTATCTAGGAAGCTTGTTGATATAAATCTCAGTGACAAAATGTAATTCCACTTGTTTAAGGAATCTAAGCATGTCCTGGGAATAAATGAAAGATCACATTTACCTAGTCAACAAAACAAAATGCATTGATTATGTCTTATTTGCCAGTTAACCTATTAGCTACTGGGAAATACAAGAATCAGCAAGATATATCCCCTGCCCTTAAGACCATGGCAGCCAAGTAAGCATGGTATTAAAATACGAGGATATAAGTGCTGAAAGAAAGGTAATTTAAGATAATATCTGGAGCACATAGAAAAAGCACCTATTTAAAATAGGACTAACCCTTTACTCGTGAGCCATGTGACCTGAGAGCAGTATTAGGTATCAAGGAAGGCTTTCTGGAAGTGGTGACATCTAAGTTGAAACCTGCAGGATGACTGAGCTGAATAAAGAACAGGTACCAGTGCCTTCTACACAAATCGGGCAATACATGAGAACAATTCATAGAATGATACAACACAAGAAAGTGAACTTTCAGACAAACTATGGATTTCAGCTAACAATAGTGTATCAATGTCAGGTCATCAGTTGTAATGCACTACACAAATGTAAAATATCAGTAATAGGGGAAACTTGATGGGGGCTAAGGTGTCAGGAGAAGGAGTACCAGGGAACTGTGCTTTCTGCTTAATTTTTTTTACAAATCAACAAACGATGTTACCAATAGAGTTGATAAATTTTTTTTAAGGCTAATGCTACAGATGACTTATTGTTTAGAGAACACAACACACTAATGTCTGGCTAGAATTGTGCGATGTTGATAAAGAGGATGGAGGAAGGCTTGGGAGGTCAGCAGGGGCTGCACCATGAAAAGCTTTACAAGGAATATAAAGGATTTATGGCATTAACCAAGATGACATTAGATTATTTCATCTGTGGAAGTAATGTAATTAGATGTTGTTTGTGTCTATTTGTTTGCCTGCTTGGTTGCTTTTGAGACTCTTTGAAGAACTCTTAGGAAAATAGATTGAAGGGAGGCATGACTCAGCATGAGTGATCATTTAGGAGGCTATAGATGCACTACAGTAGATGAAAGTGGAGTTGGTATCAGGCCTTGTGAACTCTGATCAGAGCTGTGACAGACAGAAGGAAAATGAGCATTTTGCCACCTGAAGGGCAAAAGGACATCCTGTGTAAACAAGGCTTCTCTTTTTCATTTTTATTTTGTAGAAGACCATCCACATAGGTCACATGAACTTATGTCCTGAGCGGTGCCTCTGTCATGTTCTCTGTTTATGATCAGGAAGGTCTGGCCTCCGCCTCTACTCTTTCAGGCAAGTGTGGGCACTGGAGAAATAGCTGCATGAATTGCATGCAGGCTGTGACAGACCTTTTAAGTTTTATTCGTACTTTCAATAGAAATGGTTTCCCATGCCCTATGCTGGAGATACCAAGATCAAAATGATGAATCTTTCTGTTCAGACACTGGCTATACGGTAAAAACACAAACATAGAAACAGGAACGGTATTTATTAATGGATAACTTGACCAAGTGCAAACCCAAGAGGTTTTCTCTTTTTTAGCAAAAAAAAAAAAAACAAAAAAGGACCCATAGTTGTGTCACCTGAACCCAGTATTGAATGATAAGTTGGGAGTCCCCTGAGGTGAGAGAAGGACATTCAAAGCAAAGCATAGAAAATGGCATGAACGGAGACAGACACACCTGCTAAGTGGCATGCGTGGATTAGCTCTAGAGTTGAAGATCGAAGATAGGCAAGATCCAAATTATTGCAGACTCTGAATGGGGCAAGTCATGCTCCAGCTTCAGGATCGTGAAACCACTGTTAGAAAAAGGATAGTGGGTAGACCAGAAGGACTCAAAGGGAAGTGTCAACAAGAATGAGGAAGACAGTAGCTGTCTTGTGGAATTCAGATGAAAGAGACACTGAGAAGAAGAGAGATCCACATGGCCCCTAGATTAAGAGTTGATGTCTGGTAGTGCCAGCAATCCAATTAGAGAATTTAATCAAGGCTGAGAACTCATTTCTTAAGAAGGTAGTCTCTTGTGCTCAGGTGAAGAAGGGACAAGAGTCCAATATCTGCAAACAAGTCTGCCTATCCTAGTGGTCTATAGGTATGTTTTGTAATATGCATGGCCTTGGGAGTCAGAGGGCTCTTTAAGTCCTTACTTGCCCAATTACTTATGAATTATGTGACCATGATCAACACCTACCTCAAATGTTTTTATCTGTTAAGTTTTATTAGTAACATTTAACTTTTAAGTTGTCATGGATTTTTGGAAAGGACATGGAGTAAGAAACATTATAAAAGTGGCTGACCCCAAATAGTCCCTAAATCTGAGTTATCTACCCTCTTATCAAGAAGCACATCTAACTTATGTTAAATCTTCATTTCTAAGACCAGAGGCCAGCTTGTAGTGTAGGTGTTCAATGTACGTGTGTTGACTAAAGGAACGAATGAATTTAAGAGTAATCTTGGAAGAACTGACTTCTGCACGAAATGACTTTTGTTTTCCCCATTTGTGTCCTTCTCTTGACATTCCAACTGAGTTTTTGAATTCTTCAGATGTTCACTTGTTTCACACTGTCACTTCATTAGCACCATATCTGTTTGTGAGGAAATCTGGCAAAGTCGATTTCTCTAGGCAACCGGTTTGTACTTTTTGTCCTTCGATTGCAATTAATGAGATTGTTTATCTACTTCCCTGTTATGCTTTGATGAGGCCCACATGAGAACATTTTCCAGGAATATGTATGTAGTATTAGTGTGTTGTCTTACTGGGAGAGCAATGTTTTTATACTGCTTTATTAATGCCTGTACATGTGATTTAATTAAGATTTACAAATTAGGTTTAATTAAGGTTTATAAGCAGTGAGGTGAACTCCTGGCTGTGTTCATACTGCTGATTTTCCTTCTTTGTTTTCTTACATAGTCCTAACTGTGATTAGAAAAATCCAGTGGGCACTGAAGCTGGGAAATGAAATGACTTCTCCAAGCATCTGATTCCACCTGCTGTCCCTATGTTCCCTCTGTAAATGCACCCAGCACCTAAGTGTCAGAAAACGCACTGCATCTGGGATATAGCAACTCATTCATGCTACCTAGAAAGAGTCCACCAATATTGGAATGAAACTATCCACATCAGCTGCGTGACTTTAAGGTGGTTATTTACCATCTCTGATCCTCAATTTCTTCATCTGAGTGTGTGTGTAAGAGAGAGAGGTATTTTCTTTGATATATTATCATACAAAGCTATTAGATGACATAATTTTAGTCAGGGTATCTGGCTCATAAGTTTAACAAATAGCTATCATTCATAAATCATGTGTAATTGAGGCAAAAACGAAAAGATGGAATAAGTCAAATGGAAGCTTGGCCAATATTTGATTGTTTGTTTTATGTAATTATAACGTATCAGGATATCAGTGTCCTGGTTCCCCATTCTAGTCCAACCCAGAAAGTGTGTAATGAATACCTACAAAGTGTCAGGCACTAAGCAAAGTAAAAATCAAACCAAATAAGGCAAAACTCACACTCTCTGTCCAGAAGGAAGATAAGGCCAGATATGAAAAACACAAGTGAGTGGAGTCCATGATAGAACTAGGTACAAATTTCAGTGATGGCAGAAAGGATGGAGGAGATTCTTCTATATGAGTAAGTCAGGTTTCAGTTCATTTGCTGTTTCTCCTCGAATGCTGACTCATCCCTTGTTCTTTATGCAGAATTCTGACTTGTTGGCTGTAACCCTTGCCTAGATTCACATGCTTATTATTTTTTAAATTATCAGTCATGGCTGGTTCTGGGTCTGTGTTGACGTAACTGATGCATATATCAACCTGAAAGCACTTGTCTAGAGTGAGATACCACCTGTGTTCTTTCCTGAGTTGTGAAATGCCATGTAGAGGCAAAGTCATGGTTAAATGGGACCTTTAGGAGCAACTGAGCAAACATTGGATGTCTAACTTCCAAAGAGACAAAGCATCTCCCAATATTCCCAAGGCCATATAGAGACAGAGTCAAATAATGAGAATGCTTAGAATGTAGAGACCAATGGCCATTTGTAGAGACCAATGGCCATCTATTTCTGCACACTTGACCACACAACTAAAAAGTTTGAGATTATTGAACTGCTATTTGAGGGAAAAACAATATAATAATAATCCTATAATAGGTACATTTAATTAAACTTTTCTGATATTGAATTTACTGGTTTTCTTCACAATTGGAAGATAAAGTGGTGTCATTAACACCTTTTTAATTAATACTATTCAGGGAAATTATGTACGTTCAACTTAATAGTTAAAGGTAAAACCTAAATTCCCAATCATATCTATCCAATTCCATACTCTTTCTATAAGTTTCTGCTTTCAAAATAGTCTACACAATATAAGATAATGACTCCAAGGAGCTAGCAGAGATTTCAAAACTCTATTATTTACATCACACTGTAATAACAGCTAAGCATGTCTCTAGAAAACGCCCTTGGTTTGAGACTAACTTACATAGGAGAGAGTCATATGAAGGATTTACATCCATTTTTATTTAAGTAAATGAAGAGAGGGTTTTCACTAATATTTGGATTGTACTTCAAGTTACACCATAGATGTATCTGGTCATGGAAAAGTAGGAAAGCAAGCAATATGTATAAAATTGCAATAAAAGACAGGTAGAACAGCATCAAGAATGGAACTGTTTTCAGAAACGTGACCTGGACATGGCTTTGCCCAACTCAGAACCTCATAGTCTAAGAGACTAGAAACATCATCACAGACCTAGCTGTGCCCCTCTCTGAATCTTTACTTTCCTCTCTTAAAACAATAATAAATGTGGGGACATTTCTTCCTGTCTTGCTTTCCCCTAAGAATCATTAACAAAATCCAGAGATATGGTGGATATAACATTATAAAGGATGGGAAAATGCTTGGTAAATTGTATATGGCTACATAAACATAAGGAGTTATTATTATGTTGATTATCATTGGTGACAGCACGGACAAATGTGCTAATTATACCCATAAAATGAAGATGCAAATGCTTTACTCTGGACTTTTAAGAGAGGCTTATTCTTCTCCTAAAAAGAGTGATTATAAGCACAAAATATTACTTTTTATTAGTACTGCAGTAACTGTTCCATGTAATATTAATAACAATAATAAAATGTAAGCCACTTCTACATTATTTTCAGGGAGAAAAGAACACAAGAGCTAAAAAGTTGTATGAGTAGGAACTTGTCCCTTTTAATGATATCTGTAAAAATGCAATAGATGTTGCAATAAATCTCTGTCTCCCTCCAACATCCCCTATTTTGCATTTTCTCTCAATCATACTTGCCTACTTTTGTTTGGCATCATTTGTGACCTCGGTGGATATATTAATAAAAGTAGCCACAATAAGCCCTGTAGCTAATTTTCTGTATTATCCAACTGACACATTTCCCTCAAATTGTCCCAGACCTGTCCATTGGTATTTATTACTACATTTGGCTGGAACCCTTGGATATATTTTGATTGCATATGACAAGGTTCCCTTCAAGGGTCCTGTTTAGTTTGGTTTGCACATGCACCTACCGAAACTACTACCTAGAAAAACTACGAGAATTCCATATTTCTACACTGTTTGTCACAAGCTATGCTCCTGCAGCTGGGAGAAATTTGGTAAGAAAACATATCTGCCTTGTTTTCCGATGACCATTTCTGATGGTCATGTTGGATATTGTATTTTTTGGTTGGCCACAAACTGAGTGTCTAATGTGTGTCTTGTAATATTCTAGGTGCCAAGGATGATACAGTTAAGAGGTATCTTTGGTTTTGTCCAAATAACTTCTAATTTAGTTGAATGATTATATATTAAGAGTTTCCTGTTGTTGTAAAACATTACTATACAATTAGTGCTTTAAAGAAACACAGATTCCTTACCTTTCAGTTTTGGAGGTCAGTTGTTCAAAATGGGTCTTGCTGGGCTAAAATCAAGACGTCAGCAGGGCTGTGTTTCTTCTACAGCCTCCAGGGGAGAGTCTATTTCTCATCTTTTCCAGATTCTTGAGGTACATGATCCCTTTCTCTATCATCAAAGCCAGTGGTTTTGTATTTTCAAATCTCTCTCACTTTGATCCTCACTCTTTTGCCCCCTTCTTCCACTTCTAAAGACCCTGGTGATTACACAGAACCCATCTAGATATTGCAAAATGATCTCATCTGAAGGCCAGCAGATTACCAATCATAATTAACATCTGCAACCTTAATTTCCTCTTCCTATGTAACATGCCATATTCATAAATTCCTGAGATTAGGACACGGACCCCTTTGGGCCCATCATTCTGCCTATCGCAGTGAGGTTACTTACATTATAAAACAACTAGTATGTATTAATAGAAATCGCACAGTGACATTCAATTATGTGTGATTCACACCATCTGTGTAAAGGGAAAGTCACCAACAAGATACAACACAGAAGGGAAAAATAAATCACAATACTTACAAAAGGATCAGAGTGTAGAAGTTGAAAAAAAAAAGGAGAACAGATTGGTTAACTTTCCTAGTGCTTCGCTTTTTGAATCATACATTTATTAGCATGGCTTAGGAATTAGTAACATTGATTACTAAGATAAAATGGAAGCAGCATAAAAGTTTATTTCCCTCTGTCAAACCGCACATATCTAATATTTACATTAGCAAGTGGCTTTCAGGAATTCAATCTGTTTCCATCATGTTTGTCTGACCTCCCCTAGAGACTTGCTCACTGCACCTGGCCAGTGAAAAGAAACCTTGGAGGACACACCCTTACTCTTAAAATCCTCACTCCAAAATAGCACATATCATTTCTGCTCAGAGTCCATTGAGTAGGTAATAGTTACTTGAGTACACAAATCTACAAGGAAGGATGTGGAATGAAGTGCAGCCAGGCCTCACCATTATCCTATGATGGAGAGAGAGAATGGATTCTGCTGGGATGTTAGCAGTCTCTGCCACAGATCAGCAAACTTAAATACCGTGGTTCCACTTTCAGCTTTCTGACCCTCTCCGTTACTTTTAAGCTCGTTTCCCCTATTACGTTATGTGTTTCCAATTGGAAGGCTCAACAAATGTGCGTTGTTGCTACTTTGGCACTTGTAAAGCCCGCTGACCTCAAATGGGGTCCTCAGACCTTGGCCCACACCACCCTTATTATGATAGATACATAAGAGAAGACAGCAGGGGAATATTAAGGGAGTAATATTTGGAAAGGATCATGACATAAACCACAGTAGCAAATGAAAGAGCAAAGACACTGGAATCTGAACGACCTTTACTTTGTTACTTTCTTTTTTTTTTTTTTTTGAGACAGAGTTTCACTGTTGGTGTCCAGGCTGGAGTGCAGTGGCACAATCTCGGCTCGCTGGAACCTCTGCCTCCGAGTTAAGTGATTCTCCTCCCCCAGCCTCCCAAGTAGCCTGCCACCACACCTGGCTAATTTTTGTATTAGTAGAGACGGGGTTTCGCCATGTTGGCCAGGCTGGTCTGAGCTCCTGACCTCAGGTGATCCGCCCACCTCGGCCTCCCAAAGTACTGGGATTACAGGCGTGAGCCACCATGTCCGGTCTACTTTGTTACTTTCTAAAACAAAGAAAGAAAATTAAAGAAATTTGTTATCTGTTTTTGTCTTCACCTGTAAATTAAGCATGATCAAACCTATCTCAAGAGGTATACTGGATGGATTATTATATGGTATATACAAATGTCTAGTGCTTTGCATAGCAAATGATAAGTCCTAAATAAAAGATGCTATTAGCATCATCAATATTTTTATTGTTTTGTTAAAATGGTAATTCATTCTTTACAGTCTTCTTTTTAAAGGCAAGAAAATTAAATTTGAAAGATTAATTAGATCTAGCTAAATATTTTTTTCTCTTGAGTTAAATTGTAAGTTTTATCTGTGACTTTGCTGCTTATATTTCTTAATGGATTTTTTGTCACTTGGACTATGAGAAAACAAATCAATGCTGCATTAATAATTAAGCAGAGAATATTACTTTCACAACCATCTTCTCGGCAAAATGAAAGATTGAGAAATAGCTCCTAACATGATCCGTTAAGCAATGGACATGAAAACATGCATTTCTAAATCTATATACCAGGGTTTATAAATAAACCTCTTGCTAATGTGATCCCCAAGTGTAAATTATATCAATATTATACTGTTTCATTACTTCAGAGACAAAATAAAATCACCTCTCTAAAAGAATCTTGAATGATGCTGAATTTAATTTTCAGCGCCTGGGATCACAGACACTAAGGTTTGGGCAAGACTGAATCTATACTTTCACAAACTATCATCTGGTATAAGAGTAATTGTTACATGCTCATCAAGTGGGTATCTAGCCTCTCCTTTACTAATGATAGGGAGTTTTCTATTTCACAAGAAAGTGTTTTTATCTATGGAAAGGTGTGAATGTTAGTAACCTATCAATTAATTGGTTAATTAAAATTAATTGATTCAAAATGAATGGTGTTGGTTACAAACGTACAGATAGTAATTGTCTTCCAATTCTAAATAGCTTCTATAAGTCAGGCACTGTATGCCAACTCATTTAATCTTTAAGAATTGTATAATTAGATTTTATTATTAGCTCCATTTTAATATGAGAATATTGATGTTTAGAAAAATAAAGTAATTGGAGAATGGGATAGAACCTTCACCATTGTGTTATGCTAACTTCTAAAATAAGTGGTAGTCAGAGTTCTTGAGAATCATAGAGTCAAGAATAAGACATTAAACAGTTGAATTGACATGGAAGTTAGAAAGGGCTAAAACTGACATGTATCTACCTGTGATGGGAACACAGGAGAACATCCTATTAACATTTATTTTTATTTATTTTTCTCAAATCTATCTCCTTATAAAAATCAAGATTAAATACTAAAATTAATTATTTGGGGCTAGCTAAAAAATATATAAATTCTTTAAGGGCACACCTATATTTCCCTGGACTTTGTATTTTAGATGCTAACAATGATGCTTCAAATTGGTACTCAAGCAGTTAGAAACTACACAATTATAAGGATTCTTCTCACCAACTCCCTTTCACCTATGTCAGGCCAAGTTCCAAGTACCGTTCACTAAGATTCATTTCTTCAATCTTAGTTTCTTCATTAATTTCCTTCTCACATGCTGATGTAAATAAAAAAATTCCAGAAAGTCAAGTGGTCAAACAGAAGCTGTGATGATACCAATTAGCAAAGGAAAGTTGCCTGGATACTCTCAGAGACATAACAGCCTTGTGCTTAAGGATTTGGATTCTGGAGTTAAACTAGCTTTGGAATCATCACTTTCTGCCTTTGTAACCTTGAGAGAAGAATTTAGCCCCATTAATCTTCATTCATTTTCTCATTGGTGAAGTGAGCCTCATAATATCTTCCTCAAATGTTTTATGAGGATTACATACAATAATCTATCTGAAGTGTTTAACGTAGTGCCTAGCACACATCATTATTAAATAAAAGTTGACTATTTGTGCTTGTTTGTGTAACTTTGATTACTGTTCCAGAAATGCAAAGTGAAAGGTATACCATACCTTTCCCCCAGCCAGTTCTATATTGCCTGTTGGAGTAACAAGAAATCACTCACAATTTGACTGATTATGGATGATTTTCCATCAATGATCCCATTTAATCCACTACTAACATAGGACATAGGCCCTAATATTACCATTTTGAGGGTGAAAATTGAGATTGAGGAAAATGAGAAAGCTTTCTTGGGATTTTCTTGTGATGTTTCCAAAGGCTAATGAAAGCACTGAATTATATTAATGACATCTTCTTGAACTACAAAACTTTCTTTATTTTGTAGGCTTAAAAATTTTAAACAATAAGTTTTACTATCACTAATTTACTAAGATTGATTTTTATTAATTATTACTTCAAAATATTTGCTTCATTTAATAAGATAAAGTCAGCCCCATTGCATTTCAATATTAGCTATAATTAATGATGATATTATGAAAATTAATGCTTTTCCATTATCCATTATGACATCATCAGTGCTAATGATCTGTTTATTGCTTCTCTACAATGACAGGTAGAAGAGGCTGATTTTGGAGAGCAGAGAAAAAGCTTAAAATATTTTCCAATCAGTAAAACCCTTTGCATTTAGAGGATATTTGATTTTGTAATCCACCAGTAAACCTATTCTGAAAAATAACCAGTATTCCAAAAGCCTAAGGTGTATTCAGGCAACTAACATGAAATAATTGATGCCATGAAGTAATATTGTCTAAGCATATATTTTCAAACTTTCCACTGTGACACTAGTTCTAACATTTAAGAGCCCGTTTTGAGTAACTTGAAATGGGAAATTGGAGAAGAAAAAAAAAGAGAAAATTAGTTTTGTATATATTGATTATTTAATATCCACTCAGCCCACAAAAAGTAAAATGCAACACCTTCATTTAATAGACCTGGAAACCAGGACTCCAAACATCAACCTTATGTAGCTAACAAGAGAAGGAGCCTGGACCTCTTAAATGTAATCACAGCTGGAATGTTAATAATGCATGCCTTGTCAGCTATAACCTAATAGGAACATTACCTGATATCGGTGGGAAACAAATACTGCCCACTTTTTTTGTGGCTTTGGCCAGAGAATTGGAAGATTTTTGCTTATATAGGTATTGATTTGAAAATATTTTATGTAAATAATTGATGGATAAGACAATGACTGCTTTGCCAGCAAACTAGATGGAATCAGAATGTTAGATGTGGGGACTGTCTCATGAACTCTCCACAAGCAGAAAACTCAAAACATGAATATTTCAGGGGCATACAGAGTATGTTCCGAGTCTGTAGTAACACTCAGATGTCCTGACTTCTCAGGTCAACCCTCATCTTTCCACCAACTCTCATGGGCACAAAAATAAGTGCTCATTGGGAAATTAATAAAACAAAATGATTGTGTAAGGGAAAGATTTTGTCTTTCTCAGATAAAGGGAAAAAAATAGAAGGGTAATAACTTTTTTCTTTCTTGCAGGAAGATTATAGCCTTTGTCTGTTTCACTGCATGGAGTCCAGGTTGATGTGTCTCATCTGACTGACTATGTCTGTATCCCCTCCCCACTCACTACTCCTAGTTAGTTATTCTCAAGGGTAAAGTCTCAATCCATTATGGCTTCTCAGAGAAAGAAAATCTGCTCTTCAGTCACAGATATTGTTTCATGGTTCTCCTATTATAATGTGCAGACACACACCACCAAGATCTCTTTGCTGGAAAGCATAAGCTACTAAAATATCCAAGCCTTCAACCCCACTCTAAAAATTCCCCATGAGGGGAATAAAGTCCTTTGTTTATTCTGGGATATTCCTTACCAACCATTGGTACAATAATCTGAAATGTCTACAGCCTCAAATTTTCAAGATAAAATTTTCCATTTCCCAAAAGACCCCATGCATAACAAGTATAATAGGACTAAATAAAGACATTGCTTTAGCTGGCTTTTGCTGACTATAACCCAGGGGTCTGACCCATGGATTAGATTTAAAGTGACACAGTTCCAGTTAACTAGCGAATCATGGAGAAGGTTTTGAGAATGAAAATATTTCAAGTAATAATTCTCTCCTCCATCCAAATACTCAGGAATTAATAAATAAATAAGAATCTCAGATAAAGAGTCTTAGAAGTACAGATTTCTAGGCATTCACCCAAGACATGTTAAAATATAATCTTAAGAATATTTTTATTTTTTATTAATTCCATAGATGATATAAAGTGTAACTAGTGCTGAGAATCATAGGTTTATGGGCATGCAACCCTGAACTGTGCAATTTCTTCTGATTTCAAAAGCCAGATGGAATACAACCTAGTTAATAAGCATCAGGATTTGGGGAAAGACAAGGGGGATGATAGGTCAGCTTCTTTAGCTTTCAAGAAATCCTTTTTATTTTAAATAATAAGGAAAATCTTAGCCAGATGACCCATTTAAGTCAACATAGACTGTGCACATTTGATGAGTCAGCAAAATCCAAACCATAACCAAAAATAATGACAAAGACATGCAATTGTCATGCAGCATTTTATATTGCACAAACATTTTTATGAGCTTTGTTTTGAAACATCATCTTAACAATGATTCTGAAGGTAGGCACTATTATACTCCTTTAAATGCAAGCAAAATTAATCTCACATTGTTGCATTATTCAAAATTATTTGGAAACAAGTGACGTAATTGCAACTCAACTTCATAGCAGCAAAAAGAGAAATGTAGTGATGTAGTGGCCCCAAGAATTTATGCTCTGCATAGGTAGAAGTTGAGTGGTAACATGCATCCTTGTGCTGGGATTATAGGGCATTTTCTCTCTTCCTCTTCTTCCTTCCCCTCTTTCTTCTCCTCCTCTCTTTCTCCCTCTGACTATCCTGGGTCCATGGATAGAAGTGAGATATAATATTTTCAATGAAAAAACTCCAGAATCCAAAAGAGTGAAAGTGTAGTATAACAGCCTTCCAGTGTTTAGAGGCAAGACACACAGATCACCGGAGAAGCAAATATAACAAATATGCATTAAATTTTCAAAAAGTTTATGTGTGCCAGAGTCCAGATTCCCACTTAAGCATATCTGATACCCAACATTGCTATACTGAACACTTCAATACCCTTCCAATGTCAACCATACTAATTTTTATTTTTAGGTCTAACAAAGAAAATAAGACCCTAAACAAGGTTAGTCTGTGGACATTTTCTGGGGCCCAAAATGAACTTTTACTCAAAGTGATCCAGGGTGCTATAGTTCAATGTGATTTAGGCTGGCAAGTTATAGTTGGTTCTAGATAGAATTGGAATTAAAACAGAGTAGAATCAAGTAAAGAATAAAGTAAGATGTCATGAGAAACTTGATTTAATAGAGGACACTGGATGTGAGAGGCAGAAAGTAATAAAGAGAAAAGGCTACATAGAGACCAGAGGGCCAAATCCAAAATCTCAGGGTCTTGGTGGCACCTTCTTATTTTGTCTGTGAACAGAGCTGATGGAGCCCTGTTAGAGAGCCTTCTAGTACTAACTTTGTCTTAGCATTGTAGCAGGACAAGCCACAGACAAAACCCCTCAGACACCGAGTTAAAGAAAGAACAGGTTTATTCAACTGGGAGCATCGGCAAGACTCCTGTCTTAAGAGCCGAGCTCCCCAAGTGAGCAATTCCTGTCCCTTTTAAGGGCTCACAACTCTAAGGGGGTCCGCTTAAGAGGGTCGTGATTGATTGAGCAAGCAGGAGGTACGTGACTGGGGGCTGCATGCACCAGTAATTAGATCGGAACAAAACAGGACAGGGATTTTCACAGTTCTTTTCTATACAATGTCTGTAATCTATAGATAACATAACCCATTAGGTCAGGGGTTGATCTTTAACTACCAGGCCCAGGGTGTGGCGCCTGGCTGTCTGCTTGTGGATTTCATTTCTGCCTTTTAGTTTTTACTTCTTCTTTCTTTGGAGGCAGAAATTGGGCATAAGACAATATGAGGGTTGGTCTCCTCCCTTAGCATGTCCTAGTTTCCTAAGCCAAGTTAAAAATGGTAGACATGCGTTATCATTATTTTAAACAAATGAATTCACATAATCCCTTGCTTTTATGAATTTCTCATAAATTTAACAAGATGCATGATTTAACAAATATTATCAAACGTATGGTGTATGGGTGAATTCTGTTGAAAGAAATACAGGATTGAGGCAGAGGCATCCATGCTCATTACTCACAGTTGGGAAAATTAAGATCAGAGGCTTCTTCCTTTCTTTGGTTCATTGAAAAACTAAGCTTTATTCTTGCAACTTCTGAGAAGATTTCCAAGCTTTTTCTTTTGTTTCATATGTTTCTTAAAACACAATTCGCCAGGGTACTGTTGGGACTTAGGCTGTCTTCCACTATATATTCCAGGGCTGTTCTAAGTTGAAAGATTTCTTCTGGGTGGGCATGTGGGATGGACCTCAAGTAATGCTTCAACATTCCTTTAATACACTGCTCATGCCACTGCCAGGTATGTACTGCTGCATGATTGCTGTTTCTGATGCTGCATGATATCTATCGGTTGTTTTCCATCCATCTCAGAAATAATGCAATTAATAGTGATGACTTTGCCTTGTCTGTCTAGTGTATATCAGACACTCAAGAAATATTCTGATTAAATAAAGAGATATCTTCCAGTCTGGAAATAAATAAATGGCTTATCTGTGGAATTGTGAGCCCTGGCAGAGTTCACATTGAGTTTTACTCTGCGCTCAATGAAGTGCTGAGTCAGGAAGAAAACATGAAGAAAGACAGACAGAAAGATAAGAAACAGACAGACCAGGAAACAGAAGGCACATGCAGGGAGGCGGTGGGCATGGATTTTTAAGGAAATATTTAAAAGAAAGGATGCTGTAAGAGGTGTGGGCCTGATAAAGGGAATTAGCAGTTGACAATGAGGTGCTAACTGGAGAGGAAGCCATTACTTCTCTTAAGCCTAACAGATCAGTGGGGGCAGAGACGGGGTGATGTTACTGGATGGGAGCTGGTGCACTGAAAATGAGGTGCCCAAAAGACTCTGTAGACGTTGGATCAGCCACAGACAGAAATACACCAAAGCTAGGAAGTGGTAGAAAAAATACATACCTTGAGCATTCGCCTTCCACCATCCGATCCTCAGTGAAATCCCCGGTTAGAAGTGCCTATTTGAAGAACCATTCTGGACATCACCTGGGAAAAAAGCCCAGATGATGTAGTATTGAAGACTCCACAGGCAGAGAAAGCAGAAGAAGAACTAGGGATGAAGAGATAAGTGGGAATAACCAGTATGCACGTATCCTTCCAGGACATTGGGAAAGGGATGGGTGGGAAGCAAGTTATTTTGCGCCTGAGTTTAGCCAGCAGGTCACAGTTGGCCTCAAAGTTTCTATAAGTGGACTGTAGCTTGGCTATGAAGAAGCATTCTACTTAAAATACTTCAAATTTTAAAGGAAATACTGCAAGAATTTTTTTGCACTCAAGTTAAAGATCAGATCCAGCAACGAAGTCATCCCAGTTATTTACTGGATTTCTCTCTTGTCAGTTTGCATTCTTCATCATTGATAAGATATGGCCATGAATCAATTTTCAATACTATTTTAAATCCTTTTTGGAAATTAGATTAGTATATGATTATTCAGTACTAACGTTTTAACCAAAATGTATTGAATACTGACTGTATGCCAGGTTCTGTTTTTATTTTTCTGGGATATATCATTAAATACATTAGATGAAACAGCTGTCTTTCAGGGTGCATATATTAGTGGCTAAGGACAGACACTAAATAAATAGTGTTTTTTGATGCCCAGTGTCTCAGTGAATGGTTATTTGCTATGGAGAAAAGCAGATGAGAAAAGGAGGTAGGAACAATTGCAGGAAGGTGTCTAAATTACCCTAGGGTAGCTAGGGAAAGACCCACTGAGAAGGTGCCTTTTGAGCTCAAAACTGATGGAGGTGAGGAAGTGACCCATGTACATCTGGAGGAAGATGTACATTCCTATTAGATGTACATTAGCTGTATATTTCTATTCCTCCTGACAGGAGGAATAGAAAGTGAAAAAAAATTCCTGCAGTGAAACATTCCTGGAAATTTTATGAAAAACTTAAAAGAGGCCAGCGCAGCTGGAGCAATGTACAATGAGGCAAAGATGGAGGAGACAAAGCAAAGAATGTAAGAAAGATATTTAGGGTCTTGGTGATGCTGATGCAGACCAGAAGCCTTTGGTGGGCTTGAGCAGCAGAGTTCCATGATGCCTCTTCTTCTTTTTAATCACTCTCATTCTGAATTTCAGAATAGATTTTGTGTCCTGTTGTCAATGACCTTGTGCAGAAGTGAAAATTGATGATGCCGAAAGAAAGAGAGAAGAGTTGGAGGGGCAGCACCCTTCACCCGGTAGCAGGAACATGATTCAGGCATCAACAGAAGCTCCAGACAGGAGCTCAGAGGTCCTTCCTGAGCCATAGTACGAAAGGTAGCATGAGGGTCCCAGAAGCCTGTGGTTGTAAAATGAAGTGGTGGGATTTCATGGAGCTTCTCCTCTTACTGCTTCTATTTTCTCAGGAGAGGAAGGCTCTCTGCTGAGAGTAAAGATGGTAGAAGGGGCTTTGGGGATGGCAAGAGAGGTCAAGTTATTAAATTACTCTCTATGACAGAGAGCAAGCACCAGGAAAATGCTGAACTAGTAACAAGGAGAACAAGAGGATTCCTTGATGGCAATGAGTTGAAAGTTTGTCTAGTTTTCTTCAGTTTCATTAAGTTGTGAACATACAAGGGTAACCAAGAAACAGTGTTGGGTTCAATTACTTTGAGAATTTGCCAGGCAAATTGAGGGAGAAAGAAGTGACTCTGGCTTTCTTTGACCACTCCCTGTGGATGTTAGATCAAAATTTCCAGTGCTGTAGGCATGAAGGGTTAATTTCTGGAATGAGAAATTCACCAGACTGGAGCTTTAGTGGGGCTCTGCAATACCCACAAGTCATCTTTTCACTTTGAGTTCAGACCACATGCTTCATTCTCTTTATAAGGCTTAAACACCGTAGGAATTCAACTTAGACTTTCTTTAATTTCTCGTGGTTCCATTAAAATTTTTGCAAAAAAAAAATAAGCTTTGACATTCCTACTTCCTGCATGGGTAAGTTTGCATTTTTTATTGATGGTTCATCCATCTCTAATTTTGTTAGATGGAGATTGCATAGGCGTTGTAAGGAAAATGAAGCAGAGAATTCCTGTCATGTAATTATATTTTAAAAGCCAAGTAATAGTGGCTACTTTTGTTAGCATTAGCAATTATTGGACCTTTTAACTTCAGCTGTGATAAAGAAATCCCTTGTAATGAGCTTGCAGTGGTAGTTTTACATACCTGTCATATTAACGTGAATAATAGAATTAATGTCAAGGGGAATTGATGCAGGCATTATTTATTTAAAAATACACAGGAGAAAGGAAAACATAATTTGGTAGGTAATCACATAAATGCCAGCTGAGGCTCTTAGTTCAATACTCTGGATTCTTAGTACTCCAAATAAATTTTTTGATTGATTGAAAATACATTTCTTAAAGATAAGAGTCATGTCTTATGCTCAGAATCACAAAATTTTCAAGTTGAAAAGGAGCCTAGAAATTATCTCAGCAGCCACAAATACTGAAGCCTTGGGGGTTAAGCAGATATCACAAATGAGTGAAAACTACAGACAGGGGGTATGGCAAGTTAGGAAACACAAACCAGATCAAAAGAAGACAACAGCTACTCACATCCATGCTAAGATTTTCTGTGAAGGCAGGCAGATCCTCTCACTTCTCAGGACAGCTTTTAAAAATAACTTTTATCAGTGTGCTCTAAATAGTTTACTGTGGCAATATTTGATATTTGAATGCTAACACAAACAAACTTTGACACACACACACACACACACAAAATTTACGAGACTAAATAAAACATGGATGTACTTCGGTCCCTGGCCACCAGTTTGCAGCTGAGGGAGTCCAGCTGAAAGTAACTGAGTTGTGAAGAAAGGTTATAACTACAACTTATCCAGTGGAATTCCAACAAGTTAGTGACAATGTTAATTGTCAATGTTAATTGAGGGGTCTTGCCTCTCAATCTAGGACTACGTTTTATGCAGAGAAATTATCCCAAAATTTCTCTTCGGTGTTCAATTTATTTTGTTAAAAAATTTTAGGTAAAATATTTTCCCCCTGGATTTAATGGCTGAATCTTACAGAATCTAAGTGACTTTTCTAAGGATGCACAGATAAGGAGAAACATAGATACGTCTAGAAAGTTGCCTGGTATTCCTTCTAATCTCTCATAGTGAGTGTCATGTAGGTAAGAAAATGAAACCTGATTATCAAGAGTCCTTGGTGTGTACTTTAAGCAGTTTTCATGCTGTAGCTCAGGCCATGAGACCAGGAGCCATAAGCCATGTCTGGATGCAAGTGAAGCCTTTGCCGAGCTATGCCTATGCATCCACAGAAGAGGCCTAGGGTATGACTGAGGTTTCTTGCTCCTAAAGAAATAGTGACAGCATATTAGGCAGATAAGAGTGTACTGCCTGAAATCTCTACCAGCATCCAACCTTCAGTGATTCTAATACTCATTCAAGTTCATTTTTAAAGTCCAATTCCAGACAATTCCATGCTGCATCAAATCCTTGTCATCCTTGAAGTCAGCGATCATAACACATATTCATAATTAGAAAACATAATTAGAGCTTAAAATGTATGAAGGGATTATATAGGAGATAAGGAGATATACATATATTATACAATATGCATTATATATGTGTATATATACACATTTGATTTCTCATTGCTAACTTGGCTGTGAAGACATTTTACAATATGCCTTTTATATATTTATACATATAAATGTATATTTAATATTTACATATTTACTATATATTATTATATATTCATTCTTTATAAATATATAAAAGGCCTATTCATAATATATTATAAATATATCACTTATAAAAAATCTTATTTATAAAATAGATTTATAAGTGATTATACATAAATAATTAAATATAACTACATATTTATAAATGATTAAATAAATATAATTATAAATAATTTATAAAATATATTATAAAAATATAAAAAGCATATTGTAAAATGTCTTCACAGTCAAGCTAGCAAGTAGAAATCAAATGTCTCATGCGCCATGGACTGAGATGGCCTGGCCTCCCTTGAGAGAATGAACACAGGAAAAGTGAGAGCTATAATGCAGAGGAGGATTTGATTAAAGACAAAACAATTACTAAGATATAACCGCAAAATCACAGTGATGACCAGAATTAGTTTAACAATAGTAGGACAAAGAAGAATGATATTGGTTCCCACTCTCATGGTCCCCATCCCTCTTCCATCATCTGGGATCTCGTTCTATCACTGCCATTTTGTGTGCAACACTTCTTCAGAATCGCTTGGATCACATCCTGGTCCTGATTTCCTTGGTATACGTTTGTGATATGTACTTAACCTGCACTTGCTCCAATGTTGTCTTGCAATGAGTCTCTTCTTTTTTTTTATTCCTGATTAATTTTGGCCCTGGGGCAAAGAGCCTTGGCCTTCTCTACAAGGCAGCCCAGAAATCCAGGGCAGCCTGCTGAGCAGCCTCCTGATTCAATCTGACATTGAGATACAGCTGGAAAGCAAAGACCGTATCTCAAACTTGCTTGAGTAAGTTAGGTGTCCACATCCTTAAATCAGAGTGACTTAACACCGAAAGAACGTGCTTTCCTCTGTAGACGTTTCCACACTGGATAAATCAACGTGAAAAGTTTTTATTTTTTTTTAGAGGAGGGCGGCTTACAGTCTTGGCAAGTGAGCCTTAGGTGTACAACCCTTCATCTGGGTTCTCTCTGTCTCCATCTTTTATCTTTTTTTAACAGCTATCATCTTTTTTTTTTTTTTTTTTCCTCTCTGCATTCTCCAATCTCTGTGTTTGGCAGAGTGAAAAGGACATGATCTTTAGAGACATACAAACCCAGGATGGATTTCCAGCTTAACCACCTACATGGTCTTGGATAATATTTTCAACCTTTATAAAATATAGAAAATAGTAGATACATGACATGTTTTTGTGTGCCTGTGTGTGAATTACGTGTGCCCAGTCTGCAGGGCATCTAGCACACTGCAAGTGTTTCCTTGAACTAAATATCATTTTAATTATATTCTTATGGTTGTTGTTTTCTCTTTCTGGTTGCTCTCATTCCCTTTTCCTCCTATGGTATCTCCTTTCTTTGCACACCTCTGTTTGGTTTGCAATCTCTCTTTTTGTCAATCTTAACTCACAGAAGAACTTTTTCTCTCTGTTTCTTCTCCTTTTTCTCCTCCTAGAGCTTTGGGTAGGTTATTTGTTGTCCTCTCCCTGTTCCTCTTCCCTTCCTTGGTTTCTCCTTTCTTTCTTTACTTCTTACAACACTGCCGTATTTCTCCTTCTTTGCCCACTGTGTATTCTTCCTTTTGTCTCCTTCTGCAAAATTTTCTCTTTCGCTGTTGGTCTTTTGATATAGTGTGCCCCATCTGTCATGACTGTTTTTGCCTCCTTTGAAAATGTTACTTTGCTCCTTCATACCTTACTTTTACAGTCTCTGGTCTGTGCTTTCTGTTCATTTGGTGCTTACCACCTTTCATTATTTGCCTCACACTGTCTATATTTTACAATTCTACTTATTTCTCTTCCTTTCAGACTTAGCCCCTTCCCATTAAAATGCCCTAATACACTCAATCTGCATAATGAAACTGGGGCTTTGTTTTTTGGAGAATGACACATGGTACCTTTCTTTAGTTTTCATTGACCTTGATCTGCCCTTGGATGATCTACAAGCTGCCATTCCATTTGCATGAGTCAAGTCTATGTTGGTTTGTTGCTCGTGCTCCACAACATTGCTTCTCAGTGCGATTTCATATTTTACGCACTATGAATATCATGCCCAGAAGCTCACAATCTTTCATTGCAACAAAGCAAGTGACACAAATAGAATTTGCTACAGAAGAAAATAAACCTAAAAGCAGGTCACTGTTGAATTAATAACAAAAGGTCAAAAATCTTGTGGGAGAAAGAGAAAAACATGTAGGCTTGGAAATACAAAACATTACTTGGCACCTTCTTGATGAAGGTCACATACCTAATAAAATATCAACTTCATTTTGTTTATGAAAAGACTGATACTCAGTAGTATTTTGTCCAGAACCTCATCAATTGCTGGTAAGTGAATAAGTTGGAATTCGGATCTATACTTTTCTACCTTCACTTCTGAGTAGATGGACTAATTGTGGCAGGCCATCACTAATACTGCAACAAATGCAGATATATAGAAATAGAGACAAATTATAAAATTCATATTTTTACAATTATTCTAAACTTGTGGAAGCAGAGCAATGGGAATGAAAATTCCAGAGCAGAATGAACCATTTTGAGATGAGCTAAGTCCTTCCGCTGTTTTTCTTGAAGGCATGTGCTGATGTAGAATATGGGCTAAAGATTGGTTTTCCATCAAGAAAGCACATCCACTTCCATGCTGCATCACAGAGAAAGATTTTAAAACAGTTATTAAAAACAGAAAAATGACATCTTAAAAGAAAATTCAAATAGATAGTGTAGACACCAAACTACAATACCTACAATTAAGTACTAATTGGATGAAAAGATAAAGAAAGATAAATCAAAAATATCCAAATTGAAACATGAAAGCAAGAAAATTAAATTAGCAAAACAGTACAGATGAGACATAAGTGACATATTTGAATGTTCTCATGTTTGTGTTGAACAGGGGTCAGAAACAGAATTTGAAGATATAATGTCCAGAAATGTTCAAAAAGTGATAAAACATATTAATCCATAAGTTTAAGAAGCTTAGAAAAAATATCTTGTAGAAATACACAGGAAAAACCTCACCTTGGTCCATCCCAATCACACTGCTAAAATGAAAGATAATAAGAATAATTATAAAATTAGCTGGAAAAAAAAGAGAAAAAAAGCACATTATCAGGACAACAATAACGCTGATGGCCAACCTAGCAATGATAACAACTTAGATGGAAGCCAGAGAAGCAGAGAAAAATGCCTTTAAACATGAAAAGAGCATATCAACACAAAATTCTAAACACAGACACTATATTCAACTGATTAAAACTATGAAGTTTGGGAAATACCATTTTTTTCTTTATTTTGTGAAGGATATTTTGTGTCTTTTGTGGCCTAATCCCTGGGTTGTTGTCAGCACATGGGACAGGTCTCTAAGGAGAGAGTACAGACTCTTCTCTTTTATCAAACCTTCACTTTCTGTCTTCCCCAAGAGGAATAGATACAAGTGTGGTCTGTCAGATTAAAAGTACTGATTTGGCCACATGTAGAGTTACTGGAGTTTCAGTAATCGAAAAGGTGACACATGTAAATAAGCCTTTTCTTCTTCCTTTTCCAAGATTATTTTTTGTCCTGCACCTCAGCTGAAAAAGTAGTGTGTAGTCTCAAGACCTGCCTTCTGAACAACTGAGCACTCAACTCCTCCTTCCTTTCTTCCATGTTGCCAGAGAGAGGAGAGTACATTCTGAAACTGTTGGGTTGATGGCAGAGTTCAGATATCCCTTCTGAATCTCCCGTTGAGATATAATCCCCAGTGTTGGAGGTAGGGCCTGGTGGGAGGTATATTGGTCATGAGAGAGGATCCCTCATGGCTTGGTGCTGTCCTAGCGATGGTGAGTGAACTCTCACAAGACTTGGTTGTTTCCAAGTATGTGACACCTTCCCATGTCTCTTGCTCCCACTCTCACCATGTGAGATACCTGCTCCCCCTTTGCCTTCCACAATGATTGTAAGCTTCCTGAGGCCTCATCAGAAGCAGAGCAGATGCCAACACCATGCTTCCTGTAAAGCCTGCAAAACTATAAGCCAGTCACACCTCTTTTCTTTGTAAATTACTCAGCATCAGGTATTTCTTTATAGCAATACAAGAACCTAAAACAGTTGAATGTCTTGAGTAAAAGATACGCTTTCCCTTCACAAACAATTAAAATACAAGCAAGAAGAAAAAAGGAAGGTAGCAAGCATTACAATGTCTCATGGAGGAACTTAGAAGTTGAATTGTTTTCCTTTGCGAAAAGATTCACAAATATAAATATTAGAATTAAGCCATCAACTTCAGTTTCAAAGAAATCAGCAGAGCAGGGCACAGAGCTGGAAAGGGGAGCTGGGACCTACAGGAGCTAGTGGACAATTGAGATTAATTCCCTAGTTGAAGTGAGAAAACAGGTTGAGTACGTGTTTCACCATGTGTGGTGTGCACAGCAGGGACATTGCAGGCCAAGGCCAGGGAGACTGGCCACCTCTCAGGGACTGTGATTGACAAGATCTATTCAACACATTGGGATTTTTTTTGTGTAGTACATGGGATTGGTCTCCCAGAATAAAATATAGACTCTTTTCTTTCATTCAATTCTTTTTTGCAGTTTTAGGAGGAAAGTGTTTCTAAGCATTTCGCTTGATTGCTTGCTTATTTGTGTTTTCCTCTAGGGGAGGGATAACAGATAAAATCTATATATAAATGATCTCACATATTTTATTTTGTAAACCTCTTTCTATAACCTCATGTTAAGATTTCTTCCTAGGAGAGGACCATGGTGTGTTAATAGTCTAATAATTGCATATTTTCAAATAAGCTCAATGTCTGTGCCAAGTGATGTGGGATTTTCATCGTATCAATGTGGCCCTTTCACAGGGTTTAGTTTGCATGTGTTACCTCCAAATGATAAGCTGGGATGAAGACACAAACATTCACTGGGGGACAGTAGAATCAAGGGAGGGAATGGGATTGGAGTATAAGTATATGAGAAAATCAGAGAGGATCTGGGAGAATCTTGGAAGGAAGGCATTTATTAGTAACAGTCTGTCATCTATTCAACACAACCACAGCAGCAGTCTAGTTATAAAGTCAGATGTATATTCAGAGAAAGCTAAGACCAAAAAAATGCATCGAAATTAATAATTTCCAACTCAACCTCTGAAGCCTGAATCAAGTGGGATCATCTGAACTACGTGGGAATTACTATATAGCAATTTATTTGGCCTGCTGTAGAAAAAGACCAAAGTCTTTATTCCCACTCTTATTTCCTTTAGGCCACCAGTCCCTGAGTTGACTTATAATAGTGAAGAAGTACATCTTGCAACTGGAAGAAGGCTTCAGCCCTAATAAGTACATCAGCCCTTTAGAAAAGAGAAGTCAACATCAGGATTGTGTGGAGTATGTCATACGGATGCAAAAGAAGTCAAACTTTTCTAGGCCTGCCAGAAGCCCTATTATACCAGAAACCTGGCCTTGGCCAATATCTGTGTTTGTCTCTATCATTGATGGAGGAAAGCAGACAAGAACTCTGAGATCATTGAGAGGTCAGCATGTGACAGCTTGTCATAACCTTAGGGACATACCTGTTTCTCTTTTCTTGGACTTTAGAGCACTTTGAATTTGTATCTTACAGATATCTTCTCCCTTAGAGTTCCTTGTTTTTTCACATCTCCAACATAAGTGGTTTTAAACATGGTGGACCATGAGGTTACTTTCCAGTTCTTTGATGCTACAGACGCAAAATAATTTAGTGTGGAAGAATTTGTGGTATCTCTAGAAGGGGTACGTGGAATGGAAGATAGAATTTTTCTCCCCAAAATAGAATTTGATAAATTGCTGAACCAAAGAAACAAAATGACAGTCACACTCAGATACCACTGGGAGCATGAAATTTGAATCAAGGTTTTCTTTTTAGTTTTTTATCTCCAAAAGATTAATCTGCTACTGCAGATAGGTATTGATTGTGAGGTCAGCCAAGATTATAATTCTCTAGACTATGTTCTTATATGCCTGCGTTACAGAGACAGAAAAAAACATCTTCAGTGAATATCAGTGAATTATGATAATATATGAGATGTTATCTTTTTATCTATTTTCAATACTTGAGTGAGCCCATATCTATGTTTATTACTTCCTAGGAGAGCAGTGCATTCATATTCCTGTGTACAATACACATCTTCTCCAGGCTATTTGTTCACCACCTCTGCAACTGGCCTTAGTTTGCCAAAGTCTAATAATGTGGCCAGAAATGAAGATCTTTATCTATTAGGACTCTCCTTTACCTGGTCTGTGAGCAGTTTAAAATAATCCTTGTAGTATATTAGAGTAAGATTTGGTGTTAGTCTTCCTGTCTCAGACCATTTTTGTCTGTGGTAAAACATTAGGTGTGCATATGCCCAGAACAACATTCTTCCCCTATAAATCCTAGATTTGTCATTGATTACAGGATTTGTTCTCCCCCTTGGATCTAAAATTGAACTCTAATTACCCACTGGTAGAGAAGTTCTGTCCTACATCTCAGTCTACATGACCGGGGCTTTAATATACTGCAGTGCAGTGCCTAGGATCTCTGCTTAGGGGGTTGGATGTCCCAGGATTGGCAGTTGTGGTGGGCTGGGTGGGTTCCGTGTTAACTTAAACTGACCTCCTGATGTAGAGCCTATGGGAAATTAGCTACTAAGTTGTAACAAATATCTTCACCCTGACACTCCTATTGCTAAAGCCTTCGTTCAGCAGAGCATACCCATCAAATACCACAACAAGTCTCAACCAATTAATTACATTCTATTGGTTACTGCTATCCATTCAGTTGTCTCTGTCTTTGTGAGTCAGCCTCATCACTAAGCAAGGGTGTTCGGAATGCCCCATTTGATCCTAGAAAATCAACATCAGCTTGTGAATACTTTATTCTAGGCTCTACTTATCATAAACCTTGAATCTATATGTATTATAACTTCAAGGTTTATGCATGTGGGAATATGTTAATCCTTTATCTTCATTTATCTTTCTCTGGATGTGTTTCTTTAACAAGATTCTTCATAAACACATAAAAGTCTCACTTGCTGTATGTCACTGTAATTTTGGAAATCCTAAATATGGGGATGGCTTCAGTGATGCTGATCCTTAAAAGATATGGAAATTCTCTGGAGACCAATAACAAAACTATAAGTTTACTCTTTCCCATCTGGACATCAGGCATTTCTATTATGTTGCCTCTTCTGCAACTAAGCCTGGAATTAGCCTTTGCACTCGGAAAGTCTTATTGATACTGGGGATGCATTTGAGCATTATTGCTAAGAGATAAGGAGATGTCAGTGGAGTGTCCTTACTGAGTATTAGGATTAGAGGAAGAGGATAATGGTTATTTCTGATACTTCTTACGTGAATTAGCTAAGACCTTAGGTTAATGATATCATTTCATTGGTCTTTTTTTTTCCAGATATAACTTAAAAATAAAATATGTTTTGCACATAGCTATTTTTAAGATCAAATGAGGAAATATATCTGGACACACTGAAAATTCTAAAATTCAGCCCCCAAATGAATGACATTAAGCAGTTATCTCATGTTAATTTGCATTAAAATGTCTGCTTCAGCCACTAAATTGTGAGCTTCTTAAGTATAGAGATAATGTCTTATTCATCAACACATCTCCAACACTTAAACAGTACCATAGTGTTAATATTAATTTATTTGTGTATTTATTAATCAATTAGCATGTATCATATATTTACTATATTCCAGCCACTTTGATCATCCAGTCAATGCTTATTAGATATATAGGTGTAATTGAAAATATTTTCCAAGACTTTTGAAGGAGAAAGGTGAGAAAAGAAGTTTGGGATTTCTGAGCAGTGCATATTGATTTTGTACTTTTATTTTTGTCTGATCTTTCTATTTTCTGAGACTGGAATTCATTCTCGTCAATCAACCACAGCTGGGGATACTTAGTAAATAAGCAACTCTAACTACATCATTTTGGTGCTAGCATGAAGATCCAGATCTGATATTCCTGCTATTTACCCGACAGAAACTAGGTGCCCTAGTTCTGATAACTAAGCCTCTCTCTCCCTGGCTCCCTCCCCGCACCTTTTTTTTCTTTTTGCCCTTACATGCCCCCAAGGATCTTGGTTATATTACTGTTTTGCTGCCTTGGGTTTTATTCTCAGTTATATCTGTAATAGCTTACCATTATGCCTACAAGTGAATGGAGTTGGTTTTGCTATTTCATCTTCCAGCTGAAATGTCATCACCTTAAACCTACAGTTTAAATGTGCTCCTTTGTGATAACGATAAAGTGGAAAAAACGAGTGTAGTTGTGTGTTTTTATTTAATTTTTATTATTCTAACTGACATGTATTATTCCTATGTGTACCAGTCACTATACTCATATGTGCACTATTTCATTTAATCATCCTAATAACCCTAAGAAAATGTAACTAGGGACTAGCATCATCAGCAGCAGCAGCAGCAGCTCATCTCCACCTTTTTAGGTAAGGAATTCAGGAAATTTAAATACTCCTAGTGTTCCAAGGCATTTGAGTGAAAAAGCTACACTTGAGGTCAGACTTGCCTAAATCCAAACTCCCTTCTTTTGGCCATTGTATGTTTTATTTTTAAATTGTTCATAATCTCTGTCTCTGAAGCTCTATCATCCTGTTGCTTGAATGAGACATCACTTCCCCTCTAAACAGGCCTCAATCATTGGCCAAGTAAAGAAACAAAGCCATCTTTATGTATCAGGTTATCAGTCTCTGTCACTTTGCCTACAATTAGTTGCTTCTTGTGTTCACTGTTGGTTTTGTCTCGCGCTGCTAGAAGATATGGGCACAATCAACCAAGTTCTGAGACATAGTCTTTTAGTGAGCCATTATGTAAAGAAGAAAAAGAACAGAACATCCATTTTCCCTGAGTTTGCTGGATAAATTACTAATAAAAGTAATTCTATCAAAATTGCAGTCTCAGAGCTGAATTGTATCTGGGAAAAATTGAATAATCACAAAGAAAGGCTGAATTGCGTGATTGAAATCCACATGGTCATTCTATTTTAGGTCAGAGTTTAGTAAATTTCATCAGCTCTTTGAAACTGAAACTGTTCTTGTCTTCAGTGCCCTCATGTTTTTTTTTAGAAGATACAGACTTTCTGGATGTCGACAAAGAGGGGGTGAAAATAATAAGCATGGAGAGTTGTATGAAGAAGAAAGAAGAACTTGCATCAATCAGATGGAGCACTTGGCCAACAAAGCATTTGTATCAGCAAATGAAAATCTTATTCAGGATCCAATAGATGTAACCCATAAATGTTTAATCCACAAAGAAGAAAACAAATTTGATTTGAATTGGGAAGGATTTTTTTTTTTGCCAAGTGCAGCAGTCTCTAGACATTCACAGATAAATTCATAGTTAGCAAGTTTGGATTTTCATAAATTCCCCATGCAATTTATAAATCATTTTAATATAATGGTATCTTCACCACTTACATCTTTATTCACCAGTCTCCTCAATGAGAAGATCTACTTTCCAGTGCAAGCTACATATCTGATTATTGGTGCGTCTTTAAGTAAAGCACAACTTTTCTGGAACTCAGCTATAAAATTGGTTCATAATTTATGTATAGATATATGGAAACCTTTTAAGGTACTTTAGAGACGGGATTGACAAACTTTTTCTATAACGGACCATATAGCACATATTTTAAGCTTTAAAAGACAGGCAGTCTCTAGCACAACCACTTAACTCTCTCATTATAACATGGAAACAGCCACAGATAATATGTAAATAAATAAGTATGCCTATGCTCCAATCATGCTTTTTTAAAGGAAACTAAAATGTGAATTTTATATAATTATCATTTGTCACAAATCGTGCTCTTCTTTTGATTTTTAAAAACATTTCAAAATATAATGGTCATTCTTATTTTGTGAGAACCATGCAAAAAATGTGGCAGGCCATATTTATCCAGTGGGCCATAGCTTACTTACTTCTGCCCTATAGGCTTATATTTGTAAATGTACATGAAACTTAGATGTATGTAAAAAAAAGATAAAATTTCAAATGAGAAATTAAAATTAAGATGATATTTTATGATCACAAGTAAAAAAATCATCTAGTCTGGTTTGTTTTTGGCTGAGCCAATTTTTAAAAATTAATAGGCAGACAAATATTCTAACAAGGGCCACTCTAAAAATATGTAATACAAACATTATCTAGCTGCAAAAAAAAATCTATTTTTATGAGGCAAGAAGTTGAGGAAAAAATCTTCAATCACCTATTTAAGTAGAAATATGATTTTCTTACTCTTATATGACAAGGAAAGTCATAGATCATAATGGAGTATGCCTCAGGAAGTAGGCATAGTGTTTTTTTTCAATCTTTTTTGCTGATTCTCTTCTGGTATAAAATGTGTTGAAAATATGTAATTCAAGAATAGATGTGGAATTAATTAATGAACCTCTATAAAAATAAAAGTATATGTTTATATTTTTTTCTACTATGAAAACTACTCAGTTGAACTCAAAGAAGAACTTTCTGTTTTTAGCTGTTAGAAGAATACATTCTAAATTTAGCAATCAGGAAAAAATGTGAATCTTAGATGATTCAAATTTAATCCATATTTACTGACTGCTATTGATCAGCCAGATGATATGCTAAAGTCTTAATACCCAAAATCTTATTTAATCTTTATAATGCCTTTTGTTGTAAATTCTAATGTTTCGATTTTATAGATAAACATTAAGTCCAGAAAGTTTTATTAACTTGTGATTGCTCCCTTAATTTTGCACTTTCCTGCCCACAACATAAAGAGCCTACACACAGAGATGAATCCCTATAAAAAGGTGTTAATTGAAAAAGGAAACAAGAGAAACACAATTTGTGGATGCCCACTGCAAGCAAGGTATTATGGGAGCATATTCATTCATCAATTTACTCCTTCACTCATAGAGAATCTTCGCTGTGGCAGTGCACATCAAATTTGGTTTGACCCTCACGATGTAAGTATATATTATCCTGATCCTTCAACAGCCTTGCAAACTAGGGGTTATTACCTCTGTTTAACAAATGAGAAAACTAAGACATGGATTTAGGAGCTCAGGGTCATAGTGCCAGTCAGTGTTGGATTCAAGATTTGAACCTTCGTTTGTTTGACTTAAGAAACTGTTCATTTCACACCACGCTGCCTCTAATGCCAGAGAAATAACAGATCCTTTCATCAAATGTCTTCAGCTGCTTCTCTACACTTTTAGCTCTCTGTTTATTTGTGCTCTGACAATGAAAAGAAAGGAGGAAAATTCCACCATTCCTAGAAGGCACCTAGTTTCCTGATGATTTTGCAAATAGTTTTCTTTGTTTCAGAAGTATATCTATAATGGAGAGGCTATGGATGCTTGACATGAATTGGAAGTAGATTTTTATTTGTTTGAAATTATTACACCACTCTTTCTTGACATTTGCCGTTAATTATTCACTAGGAAATAGAGAAATATGTCAACACAACATTTGTCACTGGTTATTTAGAGGCTCAGGTTGACAGATCTTGGCAGAATCTTTGAAAGATGTATCTGACATGATTGCTTTCAGGCTCCTTATTTATTTTACGTTCTCAAGACTGTAAAATAAAATAAAATCTTCTGCTAGTGAGATAGCTACTCACAACAAAGACACATGTTTAGGACAAGGTTAGCAGTCTTGCCACTCTGATTGGAAAAGCAGGTGGTCATCAAAAAGGGAGTGAAACTGCTACATTTCAGGGCTGATGGAAATTTTAAGAGGAGCAAATTAGAGGATAAATGTAATCATTACATATTTCTTTACCATTCCCTACCAAAAAAGAATGGCCACCCTATATCAATTTGTCCTATAAGTGATAGGTTATATCACAAAATGTAAAATAAAGTTTAAAAAATACTACCATGACATTATAAGCTCTCTTCTGTCACAACTCCTATCTTACCAAGCTTGGACTTTCCCCCTCTCATTAAGTTTCTTGTGTCCTGCGTCTATTAAAGCTACTCTATTCTGAGGCAGCTGCTGAAATCACATTGTTTTCAGTTCCAGCTTTGAATGCAAGTCCTGGTCCTACTCTTACTGACTGAGTGAAATTGGTCTACTCATGTAACCTCCCAGATTCATTTTCTTTCTTACTTTTTTGAATTCACAAATGGGTGTTTAAGTAACTTATTCCTCTCCTCAAAATGACCTAACCTATTAAAAAAAATCAAAGTCCTAATCACCGTCCCTAAATTCTTACATAATCTTTTTTTCTAATTTACCCTCAGTCTATCACCCCCTGTTTTTGTTTTTCTCTGCTCTACCAACGCTGGCCTTCATGCTATTTCTGGAAAACGCCAAGCACGCTCTGTCTCAGGGTCATTAGAACAATGACGTTCTCCACTGCCTGGAGCTCTCTTTTCTCCCACATTCTCATCATGTCCTCTACTAACTCTATGAGGGGTATGTTCAAATGTTACCATGTTAGCGAGGCCATCCCCATCTATCCCACCCAAACTGTTCCACTTCCCCACCTGGCAGTTGTTAGCATCCTTGGCTCCTGACAATGGAAGTCCATGACAGCAGGGGCCATTGAGAAAGCAGATGCACAGGGGAGGAAGGGTTTTTAGTGGGAACAGTCTGGTCATGAGTGCAAGGTGAAGATAAAATGGAAGAGGGAGGCTGAATAAATTTACACAAGTCCTCACTTATCACTATGAAGAGTTTGAACCTTGCTAGGAGTGCAATGAGAATTTACTGAAGAGCTTTAGGCAAATGAATGGCATAATATGATTTGCATATTAAACAGATTGTGCTGGTACAGGTGGAAAATGGATCAGAATGTGCAATATGCAAGGACATTACTTAAGAAATTCTGGAAAGTTGAGCTTTAAGCATGTCTAAGCCCACCAGATTCTATTAATACCTCAAGTCCAGGTGGTGAGATGTTGAAACATTTCAAGTCAGACAAATAGAAATGATGAAGGATGGCAATAGGATACTTTGTCTTTGGGAAGTGGAAACTAGAATGAGCTAGGGGGAAAGCAATAGAGGTTTAGAGGACCAAAACTTCCCCTAAGCTTAATTTTAATTAATTCATATTAGATATTTTCTTGAGGGAGCAAGGGAACTCCAGCAGAAACACAGTCCAAGTAGTTAATGCCAAAATCTGGCCCCATGGTCAAGACTTGGTGAGTTTAAACAGTAATTCAGCCAGTAATGAAAGCAGACAGAAGTACTAATCCAATGAAAGAAGACGGATATAGTTTCAGATTTTCCATTTGTAATAGAGAGTGATATAGTTCACCCAGGGAAAGTTAATTCTGCCTAGGAGTGACCATGAGTCTTAGAATGAGAAATAAAATCACATACGTAGCAAGAGTTTGTTACTGCAAGAAGAGTAGCAGTCAAGGAGAAAAATCAGAGTCAACTAGAAGGATTAAGATTTTGGCTTCTATTTGTTATTCTGGACACTGAACACGGGGTGTAGGGGTAAGAAATAGGTAGTATTTTAAGTGCCTTGTATTTTAACATTGTGTGTCTCCATGTAGTTGGGCCAAAGGAGAATATGTGTTCCAATGAACTGTGCTTGTCTGAGCTTGTCAAAAATCAAAAGAGAAACATGATGATATGTGAGGGCAGGATGGTTACTTGGAATAGTTTCAGCTTTTCTTGATAGAAAAAGCCTCTTGTGACCAGGAGCCTGATGTCTGTGGCCCCAGGTCTGCTTCAGCTTATGTGTTGTTAAGAAGTCTTTATGCCTTCCTGTGTCTGAAAAGCTACCATCTGTAAGAGTCAATAGGTTATTTCAGTAAAAACACAGAGACCAAAGAGAGGTACAATAAGTGAACATTTGGGAAGAGAAGAGTTGCACTTATCACAAGGAATGTCCTTCCAAATAAGAGCTAATTGTGAAAAATGTTAGTTTTTCTTCTGTTACTGGAAGTTTCATATAACTGAGTGACTGTTGCAGAGAATGTTACAGATGGTATTAAACTATCAGATTGCTGAGCTGGAATTCATTAATTTAAGATGATCTTAAGGCTCTAGTTGTGTATATTTTCTCATTTAATTTGTTTATTTGCACATTCAACCAATATTTATTAAGGACCCTCACTTAATCAGATTAGGATGCTGTAACAAACTACCATAGGCTGGGTGGCTTAAATAATAGAAATGCATTTCTCTCTGTTCTGGAGGCTGGGAAGTCCAAGATCAAGGTGTAGGCAGATTTGGTGTCTGTTGAAAGCTGTCTTCCTGGCTTATAGACAGCAGGCTTCCTAATGTGTGCTCACATGGCCTTTCTTTGGCTTTATTCTTACAGAAAGAGGGAGGGAGAGACAGAGAGAGAGAGGGAGAGAGAGAGCATCTTTCTTTTTTTGTAAGGACATTAATTCTATCATTGAACCCCTACCATCATGACAGAATCTAACCTAAATTATCTCCCAAAGGCCTCATCACCAAATACTATCACACTGGAAATAGAGACTTCAACATATGAATTTTTGGGGGACAAGAACATTTAGTTTGTGGTAGGCCCATGTATACTTTATATTTTTGCCAAACTTTAAAGATACAAAGAATTAAGCTTCACTCCATCTCTCTAGCCAACACCCTTGGGCTTGTTGAGCTTGGGATGTCTGTAAAGCAACCAAATATTATGCAGGCATTCAGACACTTGATTCTAAGGTTTGGAAAGATGGAACGGGGAGACTTGTGAATTGTCAGTACATAGATGCCCAATATGCCATGGGAGCATATGATACCACCTAAGGGTTGGGTGGAGAGAGAAAAGACATAGAAAGAGAGAGGAAGTACAATAACTGAACTTCAGAAAATGCAAAATCAGGACATTGAGGTGATGTAAGTTGAACTATTGAGAGGACCCCTGTAGCAGAAACGAGGAGACAACAGAGCAAGGGATGACCAGAGAGAGTGGGAGAGAGAGACTAGGAAATAAGTGAAGAACATTTTGAATCAGAAGGTAGTAGAGAGCTTTCTTGACAGGGATTCTGATAGTTTGAGTGAAATGAGGACTAAATATTGACCACTGAATTTGGAAACATTCAGATTAACTATGACTTTGACCAAAACTGCTTCTGTGGAATGGTAAGGGCAAATGCCTGAGTGCTTGACTGGCTTGGGTTTAAGGGAAATAGAAGTAACGAGGGAAAAGGAATATAAACTACTCTGTGAGGAACTTTGTGGTAAAAGCAAGTGAAGAAGTTAGGCATCAGCTGGAAAGATGTGGGAAAATAGCACAGATATTGTGAGATGGTAAATATTTTAGGATGTTTTTATGAATACAGAAAAGTTGCATTACAAGAAAATAGCAGGCAAGAAAAAGACAGGTAAATTGCAGAAGTAGTGTCCTTAAGTACACGTGATGCAATGGGATCCATTACACAAGTGGAACCTTAGAGTTAAATGCAAGCACAGGCATTTCATTAATTACAATAAAAATTAAAGCAGTATACATGCATTTTTACGTAAAGATTCTAGGATTTAGTGGTGAGAACATGTAGAATTTTTCAGGTTGTTTCTATTTTCCAGGGAAGAATAGAAGCAGCATCTTCAAACCCAAATTATGCTGTGGAAGAGATGTTAATATTTGAGGAGAGAGAAGGTAAAGAACAGAGGTCTTCCAGCTCAGAGATTTCCAAGTGGAGTTCTGCTAATGGATTATGAGTGTGCTATTATTGATCTCCTCAGCATTCAGGGCAGATGGGTGATTCCTAGGGTTGTCAGAGTTCCCTTTCCTCCCTCCCTTTTCTTGTATCAATTTCATCATCATTGTGTCATTGATTTTTTGTTTGTTTGTTTTAAGTTGGGAATTGTAGAGCTAGGACATTGAGAGAATGAACCGGAAAATTGGATAGAATTGCTGGGAAGATCTAAGGAGATACATGAGAACAGCCAGTAAGATTTTGTTTTTTTTTTTCCAGTTACCAAATAAGTTTGCTTCTTTTGGTATAGTCATGGAGTAAGCAGTGACTGAGACTTAATCAAGTTTACATAGAGCCACACACATCCAGTAGTTGAGAGTAATGGAGTGGGGATATGTTTTGATGCTGTGTGTAAAAGAGTGAGCAAACTGGAGCATCTGTGGCAGAGAGTGAAGGAAGTAAATAGGGCATGGGCAGGGAAAAGGTGGTATACCATTGATTAGAGGTTCAGGACAAGTCAAGAAATTATTGGAGTCAAAGTTCTAAGGGAAGTGTATTTGTCAGGGTTCTCTAGAGGGAAATAATGAATAGGATATTATATATATATAATATCCTATAATTATATATTATATATATATAGGGGAGCTTATTAAGTATTAACTCACATGATCACAAGGTGCCGCAATAGGCTGTCTACAAGGTGAGATGCAAGGAGAGCCAGTCCAAGTCCCACAATTGAAGATCTTGGAGTCCGATGTTAAACGGCAGGAGGTATCCAGCACAAGAGAAAGATGTAGGTTGGGAGGCTAAGTCAGTCTCATCTTTTCACATTTTTCTGCCTATTTATATTCTAGCCATGCTGGCAGCTGATTAGACAGTGCCCACCCAGATTAAGGGTGGGTCTGCCTTTCCCAGCCCACTGGCTTAAATATTAATCTCCTCTGGCAACACCCTCAGAGACACACCCAGGATCAATACTTTGTACCCTTCAATTCAATCAAATTGACACTCAATATTTACCATCACAGGGAGTAATAAAGAAAAAGTCAGAGATGGGCTGCTTGAAATTAAGATCGTAAAGAGAGAGCATTTTAGTGACAAATTCTAAGGATGAACATAGGTTGAGTTGAGAAAAAATTGGGGAAAGTCAGGGAAAGGGGAGAAAATAAGATAACAGGGTGTTGAAATGATTGTCTGTGTAACTAATGAAGGGTTTCCCATGAGCATTTTGAAAATTAGCCTGGAAGCTCTGGTGGGAGACGACAAGGAGTTTAAGGCTAGAACTCGGATGAGCACCGGCATTTAAACTCAGGTCAGTGAAAGAAGAAGCTATGAAAAAGCCTTGAGATAGTACAGCAGGCAAGATTTAAAGAACATGAGGATAATATGGTATACCTAAATCAAGAGCGTATTTAATTCCTGGAAGTAAAAGCAGTAGTATGTGTTAAACACTTAACATAAACCACAATATTCTAAATAAGAGCTTATCATTCTGGGTTGTCTCAGAAGTTTCTGTTGTTTTATAGAAGACCAGGATGGTAAGAAAAATGAGTTTTCCCTCTGTGACTTGAGTGTGAATCTTTGGTACAGCTATTTACTAGCTATTAAAAAAAACCTTAATATTGTAATATTTTCTACACTGTGCTTATTGTGGGAAATAAAATTAAATAATAAATGTATGAGCCTAATGGATGGGTAAGCATTGGATATCTAGCACCCTTTGGGTTCTTTTCTTAGCAGTTCAATGTATTTCCTATCAAGTAAATAGACCTGGATGGAGACATATTACAAATTCTATCATTAAAAGGAAAACAAATATATCCATACATTTGTTTTCACAAGCTATGTAGAATAGTCACTGTATATCATGCCTATACTTGGGCTCTGAATACAAAAATCTAAATATAATTAAGTTTACAGCCCCAAGATCACCAAATCTAGTGAAGATTTCTTGCCTTTAGGATAAATAAGAGACTTTACAAATTTGAAACTGAACTCTTGGTATGCAACTAGCCCAGGATTCTACAGAGAGTGACTAGTAGTACTGGTTCTAGAACAGCATTGCCCAGTGAAAATTTCTGTGATAATGGAAATTCCATGTTTAACATCTTGCTAATGAGGCTAATGAAGCCAAAGCTAATGAGGCCAAAGCCAGCACTAGCGCAACTGAAAACCAGATAAACTTTATTTTACTAATTTAAGTTGTATTGTCAACAATCACCTATAAGTAGTGGTTGCCATATTGGACAGAGTTGCCATATTGGACAGAGTCGCTCTATAGCTGAGTCACCTGTGTCCTGACACACTTAATATTGCTCATCTTTATCTAAAGGGAGGAAGAAGCAAAATGTGACATCAGATGAAGAAAACTGACCATATCTTTTATCCATATAAATTGCTCCCAGAGACTTCCCAACCTCATATTTGTCACTGTTTGTTTCTTTCAGTGATATCTTAAATGGAGTATGAAGTTATAAGAGGTTGTAAGAGCCCTGAGCATTTCAGAGGTTTTGCTTAGTAAGCAGCTTCTACCACAAATTAATCAGAAAGGGGTTCTGCCTGGAAGTCACTGACTTTTATTTTCTCCTTTACCTCTTTCCTCCTTCCAAAATCAAGCTAAAATGTTGATCAACACATTCCCACTTGCTTCATTTGTAGGCTTATAAAGAAACTCTGGATAAGTAGGTCTGAGCTATATATTGAGTTGGAATATCTAAATTCAAGTCCTTTATTTCCAACCTGAACAAATCAGTAAGCCTCAGTAATTTTATTTATAAAATGGGGACAAAAACATCTACCTAAGTGAAATAAGTTTTGTAATAATGCACATATAGACACTTAGAAAAGTAAGAGTTAATCCTTGCGTAATGAATGGAATAAGTAAAACAAGCCCTAAACTGGAAGTCAATTATTAGAAATTAAACATTTATCAGAATAAAAGAAATGCCCTGTAAAATTCTATCCTTTCAAGTATTTAAAGTGGAAATTATGATGTTTTCAGAAATAATATCACTTTTTCAATTTACTCATGTTTCATGGCAACACACATCAGCCAGGTGGATGGTGTCAAGCTTAAATGTCAGTACTTTGCAAATATAGAAAGGCCATGTTAATTCAACCAAACCTAGAACTGGTGTGCAAGGCTCTCTGTAACTTGCAAATAGTGAGTCTCATCAAGTAAAAAAAATGTCAGCTTTAGTAGATGACATTTTCTGTTTTGATAAGACTAGCAAAAGCCATAGCTCTCATAAGGTGTGTATTTAATTAAAAATTTAAATGTTCTTTTTTGTTGTAGATTTACCACATATTTCATCATGAATAGAAATAGAATTACCTAATTCAAAACGAAAGAAGTTAAATAAGAATTATATTATTTTGTTTTATTTCATCAGCAAAAATTTATTGATCATCTACTAAATGCTCGATACTGCAAAGTCTGCAGATAGAAATGTTTATAGTACATAGTTCCTGTTCTTTAAGAGCTGCTAGTGCAATAGAGGGAAAAAGATATGTAAATGACTATAATCTAGTGAGCTTTATGTGCAGGAAATGTGAAAACTCAGAGAACAAATTCAGGGTGGGGAGAAGGTGCCACGAGGAAAGATTTTCCAATGAAATGTAATTCCTCAGAATATTCTCAAAGGTAGAGGAGGGCCTTGCAAGCTAAATGGGATTTAGGTAAAGAACTCAGCAAAGGCATGGTGACATGGGGACCAGGACCTATCTCTGTTTCAGCACATAGTCTGGAGTGTATAGCCAGAGATATTGTGGAGCTGTAGGACATAAAACCGCCAAGGTGAGAGTTGGGGCATTGGGGTTTATGGGGCGTGCTTAGAAGTCTTGTGTTTGTCTTATGGGAAAAGAAATATCACAATAGCATGGGAATTGATGTACTTACTCCTGAGTTTTGGAATGGATGCTGCAGCAGAGCAGAAAGAGACCTGAGACAGAAGGTGCAAGTACTAAGTAAGAAGTGAAACATGCTTGAATTAAAAAAATACCAGGAATGAAGGAAAGGAGGATAATTTGAAAAGAAGTTGTATTAGTTTCTTCTCACATTGCTATAAAGAAATTACTGAGACTGGGTAATTTATAAAGAAAAAGGCGTTTACAATACAGCCTGCTCATGGTTCTGTAGGCCGTACAGGAAGCATGATGCTGGCATCTGCTCAGCTTCTGAGGAGGCCTCAGGAGACAGAATTATCGCGAAGGCCAACAGGGAGCAGACACATCTTACACGGCAGGAGAAGGGGCAGGAGAAGGAGCAGGAGAGAGCGAGGTGGGAGGTGCTACACACTTTTAAATGACCAGATCTCGAGAGAACTCACTCACTGTCATAGAGAAAACAGCATCAAGCGGATGATGCTAAACGATGCATGAGAAATCCACCACCGTGATCCAATCACTGCCCACCAGGCTCCACCTCCGAGATTGGGGATTACGATTTAACATGAGATTTGGTACCGAAGATCCAGACCGTATCAGTGGTATAGAAGGTAGTAGTGAAAGACCTGGTAACTACTCAAGTTAACAGGAATTTTACAAAGGGAGAAATTGAGACAGATGCTCAGATTCTCAGTTTTGTCAAATGAATTTAAGATAAGGGATATAGGGAAAAAAGCCCATTTATAAGAAACATGTATGTTCCCTCCTTCTTTCTTTTCCTTCTCTTTCTCTTTTTAAACTTTCTTCTCCCCCATTCTTCCTCTCTTTCTTTTTTTCTTTGTCTATCCAGGGACTCATGGTTTGGGAAATAATTAGTTTATATTTCTAAATATATTTGTATATTTTTGTATATTTGTATATATAATTAAATTTGTATATTTTTGTTGAGGGACCCATAGTTTGAGATATAATTAATTGAATTTTGTATACTTTTGTTTGAAGTATCACGGTAAGGTCTTTGTGATATTTGTTTAGAGGGCTTCTGAAAGTTGAGCCTGGGGCTGGTGAAGGATACTTTGACTAGAGACGCGTTTGAGAAAATTTCAAGGTTGCTGAAACTATGTGAGTATTTTTACTTACCCAGGGAGGATACTGGGTGAGTAGAAATATGATTGGATGGTGGAAGCAAACACATATGATATCTAGGTAAGTATGAAAAGGAGCTTGAAGAAGATTAATAATGAGTTGGTCATAGATGAAGAGGAAACAGCTGAATGAACCAATTCACAGACGTAGTTTCATGTCTGTTAATATGACATGAGCATGTATCAGTAACACCTGATCAATGCATCATGCACGTGCACCATATGTGAATGGCCAGTCTGAGAGCTGATCAACCCAGGAAGGAATAATTTGAAACAATGATGAGAGGGTAGAGAGAGGCATGCACAGGATTTTATGAACTATACACAACCATGGCACAAAATTTAAGACCAAAAAGTTGGGTAGCAAAGGAATTGAGATGTGTATAAAATGTGCGGGGTGAAGAGAATTGCTCTTCAGTGGGACAGTTTGCAGAAGCCACGTAAAACATGGGAAACTAGACATTTCCATAGGACTTAGCAAGTGAGCAACCAATAGTAACTTTGGCAGAACAGTTCCAAGAGTGGTGGCATCAGAAACGAGATTAGATAGGATAGAGTGTGCAAGTGTGTACAGCAGATTGTGCTTGGAGGCAAAGGATCCGAGAGCGGGGGGCCGACACCTAGCAGAGCCACAGGGTCAAGTGAGGTTTTTTGTGGGTTTCTTTTGTGTTGTTTTTCTGTTCATTTATTTTCAGCTAGGAGTAACTGGTATGTTTCTGCATACTTTACGAAAGGAGTCAGTAAACACAAGAAATATAAGAGGAAACAAAAACCAAAGTAAACATATAGGGGGGCAAAAATGTTTGAGAAGACAAGAGAGGAAAGTAATAAAAGAGATGAGTTTATCACAGTGGCTCCCAGAAGAGGGCGATTTTACTCCCCAGGGGACTTCTGGCCAGGTCAGACATCAGTTTTGATCCTCTGAGTTCTGCAGGGTGCTATTGGCACATAGCGGTGCAGGCCAGGAAGGTTGCCACCCCTTTTGTAACGCACAAGGCAGTCCCTCATTACCAATACTGCATGAAAGCATGGCCAGAACATGGGCAACGAGAGCTGCATAAACCAACTTTGCTACCAGGTGATAGGAACATGCATTGTTGGGAAACAGCAGGCAGGAGAGGCAAGTGTGCCCCAGGGCCTTTATTTTCTGTGAACAGATGAAGTCGTCAGAGAGATTTGAAGGGAGACTGGAAGGAAACATGAAGCTGAGGGGCGAGGTGAGGGTTTGGAACATGCCATGGCGAAGGTAAGCAGGTTTTGATTGAAGAATTAAAGGATGCCAGGTATTTGAGAGTTTCATGGGTGTTGGCCAAACAAGCCACTGGAACTGACATCTTACTTGACCAAATCTAAACCAGAACCACTATGCATGTATTGTTGAGCAATACACAGAGGCAGTGTTCCCAGGCTGCTGTGTTTTACTTTGGTCCAGGCTGTCTCACCGCTGGACATCTCTAGAAGGGAAGGCTGTGAACTTTCCAGAACATGTTTCCAGGCTGTGCCCTTAGAGGAATCCCCAGAGTCCTGATAAACCAGCTTTTCCGCTGTATTGCAGAAGTGCAACTCGGGGATGGGGAATTGCATTTCTTGCCACTGCTTACTGAATGACACCTTATCAAGTTCCTTGGAGTGGAAAACAACAATAACATGCTCTTCCCAATCCCCTTACTGGGCTCTGGGTCAACCTTAGCCTTGAATACAAATCACAAGATGGCTTAGACAGTGCAGCTGGAGCATGCTGGTAACTTAAAAAAGGAGATGGTCTTAAGAATGTGCTTGTCTTGTTTTTACAGAAGTTTTATTACTCACTTGGTGAGGAGCAGTCGTAAAGATGCCAAAGCCAAGATCTCCACTCTGAATCCTAATACATGTCATTTCAATTCAAATTTCACTGAGCTTGAGCCCTCTCTACTAACCTAAATTATTACAACAATGCTATAATTGAGAAGACTTGGTAAAGCATAGAAAGGCTATCTCTGGATTGTTTGTTACAACTGTATATACATCTATAATTATGCCTCTAAAGTAAGTAAATAAATACATACTCCTGCCTTGAGTTAATAGACAGTTTTAGACACTAATATGAATGGTTTATTCATTCAATAGTTCAGCCAGTCAAAAACCTTGAACTAATAACTTTATATTACAGGACCTTGGAGATAAAAATGTATTCAACACTTTATAAGAAACTATGAAGTTGATACTATGGCTATGACCCTTAGAAAGAGGAATAGAATGAATTTCATCCTGCCCAAGGTTATGTATCTAATAAGTTGTAGACTTTGGTGAGGTTTTCTTTTATATTTTTATTTGTTGCATGTTTTTGTGTTTCTGTATCATGCTGCTATCTAGCAAGGCACAGCGTAGCATCAAGTTGCTCAATGTCAGGTGAGGAAGGCAGCATTCTTATAAATGACTTCAGGTCAAGTGAAGCTACAATACGGTTTATATTTGAAATAAGCCAAGTTCTCTAACGAAAAAACTAATTCCAAAAGGGGGTCACAGACAACTTCATGAAGTAGATAGCTATGTGATTCCTCTCAGCTCTGTTGAATATACAAAGGAAAAAAGCATGTTTGATCAGGCTGAAATAGTGAGGAAGGAATGGCACCCACTGGGGGGTGGGGGGTGATTGCAAATGGCAGAAGGAATCAGTGTTAAAACAACTATACTCAACCCAGACCCAAAAGGAAGCTGAGATTGGAGCGCTGGTGTGAGATGAAGAATTGTCTAGTCTCTGTTGAATCTCCTCTCCATTATAAACCGCAGCAATTTGGAGTGTGATTTGAAGGAAGTTGTTTTCTCTTACATTTATCAACCATGCAGAAACAGAACAGACTCCCCCTTCATCTCCTGTCCCCCAAAATATCCATATTATTCATACTGATCAGACTCTAGTACACTGATTGGACCACATCTGCAACTGGCAGAAATTGTGTGTGTGTATGTGTGTGTATGTGTATTTCTTCTATCCACTTATCCTGAGTTTAAACTGACCTAGACCTGGTTCTAAGAATCCCAAAAACAGCCTGGTAAGCTCTTGAGACTCAAACCTGTGTTTTGAAGTTCGGCTGTTAGGCTTGCTAATAATGATAACGTTCTTTGATACATTGGTCATTCTTCTTGCTTTAGGTACATCCTTTAAGGAAGCTTCAAGTAGGATTGGCTGTGGATTTACTGAAGATCAAGGTTACTTCTGCAATCATATTCCTAACTCCAGTTCAACTCTCATAATCCTTTTGTCCCCAAAAGCCTGTTCTTTGGTTTGGCTAAATTAATTTCAATCCTATTGACAGTTAAGGAATCTGAGCAAGTCACTCCCTTAAGGTTTATAGGGAATTCAAGATGGACAGGGCAAAGTGAGTGTGTGAGTTTTAAAAAATTCCATATGCTTGGGCTGAATTCTATTTCTCTCATCTTCTTTTTATAAAATAAATTTAAAGTGCCTTTTATCTACACTCCAGAAAGCAAAGTGTCTGAATGTGGCATGCCGAGGGAGCATTCCTTTGATAAAAGTTGGGATGGACAACATTTCTATATTCAAAAAAGGAGAATATCTTCCATTCAAATTTCATTATTTTCTGAACTACAGTTAGAACGATTTCATTATTCTGGGCAAGAAATTTAATAACACAGCTATCTCAGCACCCATGATGGTGAGCTCGGTATATGAGTGCTCAAATGTTCCATATGTTTGTCCTAAACTCATACACAGCTAGATTCAATTTAAGGGAAATGGAGAAAGACGCCTCTCCCTGAAATTCTCTCCATTTATGACAAAGCCCCATTACATGCTGAACCTCAGCAACCAGGAAGTAATGTTCCATATCAAATATGATCATAGGGGAAGAGCAGTTTCACAAAGCAGCTTCGAGAGGACCTGCGTGGTTCCTAACATTGCCACTTGAGTTAGCAGCATTCCCACTCCAATTCCTGTCACCAGAACTTGTGCAAACTACTGCATTTTTCTGCAATAATATGTCATCATTAACCATATGTCTTTCTTCCACCACTTTTTTTTTTAATCAGCAATTCACCATCATTAATTTTTAGTACCGTTTCCTGCAGACAGTTGGTTCCTATCCAAACGTAATGAGGTTGAGATTCGTAAAGTTCGATAATTGTCAGGGGAAGAATATAAGTGTAATAAAATGCAAGTTTCTTTTTTAAATGTCTCTCAGCAATAGGAGATGAGCTGACTATGGCCATGTCTGAGAGTTCTGTTTGAGTTGAGATTACTGGGGTCATAAGGAGACCTTACTTAGCTCAATACCAATCAATTAGTAATTATTTTTGACAAATGCCAGGAACATATTAATAATAATGAATTTTATAATTTTCACAGAACATGTTATATCTGTAAAGAGTTCCATTATTTAATTCAAATCAAAAAGTATGGAATTCCTGTAGTGTGCCATATATTGATCTAGAATCAGGAAAGATAAAATGTTAATAAATGTAGGGCATCTGCTTTCAAAAATGCCCAGTTATGTTTAAGAGAAGAGCTATGCCAATGGTACAATAGTTCTCAGTTCAGCAAATTCCCTAGGGAGTTATAAAATGATTGTCTTCTTTTTTTATAGCAAGATCCAATGAGATTACTTTCAGCGTGTCATGGTGCCTTAAATCTTAAATACAGCAGCCTCGAGCCTCTCCTGGTTATTGAGTATTGCTATGTGGCAAGTCCATCTGAATAGCTGAAATTTTAGTCTTACTTAAATTGAATTAATTTAATTTAAACTACAAAAATAACCAATACTCAGTGCGTTATTGGAAAACATTTAATTATATTTGTGAGTTCTTGGGTATATGGATCTATTTTTGCAATTGCAACTTTTATGAAGTCTAAAATCAGATCACGTATTTCCTATGAAAATATAACATCCAGATTGAGATGTGCTAGAAATTCAAAACACACATCGGTGTCTAAGGGTTAGAACAAAGAAAAATAATGTGTGATCTATCTCATTAGTAAGTTTCTATGTTGATTGCATGTTGAAATAACATTATATATATATATTAGGTTACATAAGTATATTTTAAAACTAACTTACTATTTTTTATAAATATTACTGGTAGAAAATTTTAAATTACATACTTGCCTCACATAATATTGGTGTTGGAAGCACTACTGGAAATGAAGGCCATGTACTTGCCCTTTCTTCCTTATGGAAGAAAGAGATGGCATCTGGCCAAACCCACTGACCCATGGCTCTGTTAGCAAGAAGTTACCCCAGACACAGTCCTTGGCACGTGGGGCCAGCAGCAAAAAGAGGCCAGTAGCAGAGCCTAAAGCCTGACTGCAGGTTCTGCAGGTGACAGCTGAAAGGTCAGTCACCTCAGGTTTACATGCCATCTTAGCAAAAATACATTCCAAACCCCTCATCTGTACTTACAGCAAGACTGAAACCCATATAAACATATAAAATACCCAACTTAGGATTCTAATAAAAGTGAATGAGAACGTAAAGGCCAAGAGATCTGTGTCAAGCACCACACTTCACAAGATAGACTTAAGTTTTATGAAAAATAAATCACTGATATTTCTTGGTGGGGGGTGTGGGGGGGAAGTATTTTCCACAGGAAAAATTTGTGTACTTCATTTGGCAAGGATAAATATCTATCACATCTAATATTCTTTGTAAAAATATGTGATCCTTATCAGAGTGGAAATTACTGATCAACTCACCTGCTTAGACAAGAACTCATGCACCTGTTTGGCAAGGCTTTGTCGATTTTGCACTAACAATAGTGCGATAATCATGGGAAGCTTCCTGGCCCTAGAATGCAGGGCAACACCCCCACCTAGTGGCTCCTTTGCCAAGTTGTACACAGTTTGTCAGATAATAAGCGCACATCCTGAGTGTACACATCTTTACACATGTATCCTTGCCTGCTACTTATACTGCAACTATGATCTTTCCGTCTAGAAGCATGCAGTCAAAAAAAAAAAAACTGCTTAAGAGTGGATAATGGACTCACAAGATTTAGAGAGTTACAATACCCTTAGAAATCATTTTAAATTAAGACGTCATGTGTTTGGAAAATGTCTATGGTAAATCCAGGCAGGCTTCTGAGAAAGGTATCCTTAAGTCATGATTTTTAAAATGAGAGCATAGAAGGTATAAAGATGATATATTGATATGCCAGGCTTGCCTTTGCTTCAGGTTAAAACCCAAGTTATTTCTGGGCAAGGTATCTACCCCATTATATCATATTAGGATGTTGAACGTATTCAGTATGAAAGTCACGTGGAATTATAAAAGGTTTGTTATTTTCAGGTTCTTGGTTGGAAGAGGAAGAAACCTGCTAGAAAATCCAAAAGAGTATCTATCTAGCAGTAGAATCTAGATGTTTAATGGGAATATTCAAAGTCTTGTCGGATGTTGAGATAAGAGCTTAAAATTTAGACTTTGAGGGTGTTAAAATTTTAGATTAATACACTGAAATTTTTCATTTTTATTATCATAGAATTAGAACCTTAGAGGCATACAATAGGATGCTCACATCTTAAAATCAGTTGCTTACAAAGCTAGTCTTGGAAGGCTCTGGAAAATAAATACTCCCTTTTCCTAACATCAGCTTCAGGGACAAAGTTGAGGGACTTACTTCCTTTTGAGAGTTTCACAAATAAATAACTCAGGAATGTTTTTAGGAAGATCTGTTTCTCTTGGAATTGGTCCCTGAAATATTCTCTATCATATAGATAAGTTAATGTTGGGGGTTCTTTATGGGTAATTTCAATAAGAGATAGCCAGACGAGGATAGCGTGCCTCGTGGAGCTTGAAGAGTGTAAGAAGGTCAGTACTGTGGGCATTATTTTGTTAAATTTGGGGAAAAGGGGTGTTTGGATAACTAGTCCTCCCAAAAAGAAGTGGATTGGCACTCACAGTAATAAGATCTACTTGTAGCGAAGAGCTTTCTGAGTATTATTCACTGCACTGGACTGTTTACTAGATTATTAAGCTCAACTTATCTGTATGTAATAAAGAAATGAGGAAGGACATTAAAAACACAAAGGAATATGTGAAGGTTATGGTGATGACTGTATACCAGAAGTTTCATTCAGTTTCATTAAATTCATGACAACCTCTAAGCTGAGACTTGTTATTTTTTCGGACATGAAAACTGAAGCACAAAGTGATGAAATAAGGTCTCCAAGGTCAAATAGCCAGCCAATGTAGATCGGGATCTTAATATAGGTCTATTTTACTCTAAAGTACTTTCTCTTTCTAAAATACTAGGTAGTTTTCATGACAAAAGTACCCATTAATCCTCTAGAACATGCATTTACTCTATATTACAGCTTTGCATGCAATAACTAGTTGTGTTTCCTCAATGATGTCACCTTGAAGTGGCTTTTATTTTTCTTATTTCACTGATGAGAGATGTGAGGGTTACCTGAGGGACATATCAAGTGGTCAAACCACTATTCAGTAGCTATCCTTCTTACTTCAAAACTCCGTGGTCTGCTCAAAACCGTCTGCTAAGTAAATATGCTAAAAATGAGTTCTCTTCTGTTACTGACCTCTTATCTTGGTCCTTGTTAATTTCCCTCATTTTCTTCAAATCTGGCAAATTAATTCAAAAGAATACACAGTTAGGAATAATCTCTCTCTGATGCAGGTCTTGAAAGCAAAAAAAAAAAAAAAAGAAAAGAAAAGAAAATGGGATTAGAAATAGGATGACTGTGGTCTAAGCATCGTAAAGCTGTCTGTCTTCTGGTTTTCTTTTTCCGTATTCACACAGCCTTATCAGAACCCCTGTGAGATTGTACAAAATGCTGGCCTTATTTCCACTAACAGTTGTTGGTTTTGTTGTTTTCATCCAAATACCTTAGTCATAAGTAATTGGATTTCCTTACTACAGAAGAACTGGCATTTTTGTGATAATGAAGTTGAGAACAGGGGTTCATTTGACATTAAAGGTGCTTTGCAAATGTACTATAAAAACCTGGTTTAGAAGAGTACATTAAGGAATAGAGTGAGGGTTTAATCTTCAAGAAATGTACTGAAATATCCAGAGGATACTAGGCAATGGCATGTGAATAAGCTCTTAAAGCATCCCTGCGTTACCTGAAACTCAGGTCTGTTTCTTAAGTGTGGCCCTTGTTTTAAATTGCAGATTCATTTCCCATATTCTTTAAGTCTTCCAGAAAAGTGGCAAGGCCACTGTCAAAAACAAACAAATAAAAAACCCAGGAAACAAAAACTGAAAAAATACAAAATTGGAATATGATTGTTTTCAAAGGCAAGAAAAAGACTCATCAGCTAGAAGGAAGAAGATCCATACAGACACAAAGGTAGAAAAATACATAATGTATAATACTTTGATTTAAATACGTTATCACAGATGTCTGACATTTTCAACAAAAACACATACCTAACCCGTCTGGATTGAATATGATTTGAGGTTATTGATTTATTCATATATTCGTATGTAAGTTCGATTCTCACTTGAATGAGATCTTCAAAAATAGGTATAATGTGGATAGAAATAAAATCAAGGATATTCATTTATTAGTTTAAATGAGGCATTTTTAGTATATTTATCACTGTTAGAAGTAAATATTGAAGTCTAGATGTTCACTGAGAAACACAGATGCTAGAACATTTTGAAGGATTTTAAATGGTTTCATTTAATAGCACGTGTGTATGTTTGTAAGGAAATTATCGGGGATAATATAGAGAAAAGTCTTAATGAGACTGTCAAAGAAGAGAATGTGAACTGGAGATCAAGAAATGAAAAAAAAAAGCCATACATTCACATTTTACAATTTACAATTCTGCAATATATAAATTTTTGCAACAAAAAATACAAGAATTATAATGTGTAAATATTTTAATATTTGAAATATTAAAAAACTTTTTAAAGCATATCTTTTCCAAGTTTGCATATTTTCCTAAGCCAGGATCAATAGAATACCATCATAAGGGCACACAGTGGATTCATTTCAGAATCAGACCTGTAGCTAAGGTTTCCTGAGACTTTAGTCAAGTGTGTTTAATGGTACAATATTCAAAATGGGTGCAGGATCAAGCACACGCTAATATTCTAATAAGCTAGAGTGGCATTTTTAACACAGAGATTTTCTTAATAACATAAAATGGACTCAGATGTGTATCTTTTCCAATATTAAAATTCAGTCATTTCTTTAAGTATCTGATCCACTTAAAAACAAAATATGTTTTAAAAGTATGTTAATGAACAAATAATTCTTTGAAAATGAATTAATTCAATTATAGATTCACTCACTCCATCTTTCATAATGACTTGGGCAGTTTAATTGCCAGCATTTTAATTTCCAATTGTTTCCTGCTACTCTATAAGAATGGAATTAATTTTGAATTAGTAGCCTTGTGTATCTAAATTCATGAATAATGTTGAGTAGGCTTTTGGTTTCTTGTTTTGTTTCATTTTTATTTTCTTTTAATTTTTGATTCCTTGGGATTTTCTACATAAACAATCATATCATCTCTTCTGCAAATAAAGACAATTTTGCTTCTTCCTTTAAAATTTTTAAGCCTTTTCTTTATCTTAACTCATTGAAATCCACCAATGCAAGGCTGAATAGAAGAGGTTTTTTTTTTCCCAAAACAAGAGGAAACAATTCAGTTGCCTTATTTTTGAAATCAGAGAGAAACAATTGTCTCTCACTGTAACGTTTGCTGTCAATTTTCCATTTGTGCTTTTTTAAAATTTGAGGAAGTTCCTTACTATTTTTACTTTAGGTGAGTGTTAAATTCTGTCTAATGTTCTTTATGTACCTATTTAAAAGAACCTTTTATTCCCGGAACGTGGTAAATTTTATTGACTGAATTTTTGTTAACATTAAACTAACCACACAATCCTGGGTTAAATTCCACTTGTCATGAAATATTAAATTTTTAATATCTATTATTAGGTTCTATTTGGTAATATTTTGTTTTGTGCCTATAAATGTAAAGAACATCGGTCCGTAATTGTCTTTTTTGAATGCCTCTGTCAGATTTGGTATTAGGGTTGTGCTGGTCTTTTAAAACAAGTTAAGCAATGATCCCTCTTGCAATATTTTCTGAAAACGTTTATAGAAATGTGTGTAAATCTGCCATATGCACACACTCAAACACACACCTACAAACCTCATTAGTTTTCCTTCATCTGAGAAGGTCTATTGTTCACTCTCATTCTGAAAAATATTGTTGCTGAATGTAGAATTCTGTTGTAACATGGCTTTCTTTGATTCTTTTAGTTATTTCATATTCTTCTGGCCTCATATTTCTGATGAGAAATTCACAGTCATTCAAGTCAGTGTCTCCCGTGTGTAGTATATGATTTGTCTTTTGTTCTAGCTATTTTCAACATTTTATACTTACATTTGATGTTTAGCAGTTTAATATGTTGTATCTAAAAAATGGTTAACTTTGAGTTTATTGTGTTGAGATTTACTGAGCTTTTTTAAAACTATAAATGTAAAATTTTTAGTGATTCTCTAAATATGTTTTTCAGAGCTACTATGTTTTCTCTATTTGTTACCTCAATGGTATGTATATTAGACATTTTGAAAATTTCCCACAGAATTTTTAGATCTGTTTCTTCCCTGATATTTTTGTCTATTATTTAGAATGGATAATGCCTATTGATCTATCTTCAAATTGACTGGCTTTCTCTTCTATTATCGATTCTGCTATTGAGCTCATTTAGTAAACTTTTCTTTTAAATTCTGTATTTCTACGCTCAAAATTTTCACTTAAAAAATATATCTCTTGACTCCTGACCTCTTTCATATGGATTTGAATGCATAGCTCTTTACCTCATAGAACATGGTTTTAATAGCTGGCTTAAAGTTCTTCTGTTTTTATAATTATTTTAATACCTGAGTCATATTGAGGTTAGCATCTATTGATTATTGATTGCTTTTCCACCTGAAAATTTGTTTTTTATTTATTTATTTAATGTGTGTGTGTGTGTGTGTGTGTGTGTGTATATATATATATATATTTTTTTTTTTTTTTTTTTGAGATAGGGTCTCACTCTGTTGCCCAGGCAGTGGTGCAATCTTGGCTCACTGCAGCCTCAACCTCCTGGGCTCAAGCAATTCTTCCACTTCAGCCTCCCAAGTAGTTGGGACCACAGGCATACACCACCATGCCTGGCTAATTTTTGTATTTTTTGTAGAGACAGGGTTTCGCTACGTTAACCAGGCTGGTCTCAAACTCCTGGGCTCAAGCAATCTGCCTGCCTCGGCCTCCCATACTGCTTGGATTACAGGCATAAGCCACCATACCTGGCCTATTTTTTGTATATAAATAATTTTGAATTTTAACATGGGTATTGTGAATGTTATCTCGTGAGGATGCTAGGTAGTATTATAATCATATAGAGGATGATAATGTTTTGTTCTAGCAGGCAATCAGCCCAGATAGGTTCAGATTGTGAATTCCATCTCCTCTTCTTTTTGTGATGGCTCAAATCTCAATCATATCTCTAACTCTACTATGTTACTTTGGGTCTGATTTATGCCTGCATAGCTCAGGGAATGGTGTGAGACACACGTGTTTACTTTTGATTTTACTTCTGTTCTCTAAGCTTTTGGTACATTGGTTTGGGTGTCTTCCCTGCATATGTAATCCTGGAGTAAGTTGGAGACTGAGCAGCAGTCCAAATCTCAGTTCAGCTTGCCAAACCTCTGTTATACTGGTTTGGGTCTCTCTCACACATGCATAGCTCAGAAATAAGTCTGCAATTTTGGTTCATTTATAGATTTAGCAGACGTATGTCTATAGTTATCAATAATCTCAAATTTTTCCCACATGCTCCTGTTTTCCTCTTTCCTCTGGCCAGATATAGGTGATTCCTCTTTTTGTTTAGCCAGCATCATGGTGCCTTTTCTCTCCAACTGGGGGTTGATCATTGGACCGAAGTTGAGAGAACTTTTTTTTTTAGAAAGCAAATAGATACGAAAAATTACAGAACCTCACCCCTAGGAGGTCACTTCTCCAAGTTTTGACTCCTCTGTTTTTGCCTACTTTACAGAGTCCTCATGTACATTTCCTCTGTGTTTGTATGTTTTAGTATGTAAGTCCAAATGCCTGCTTCTGAATCTTATGTTGTAATTTTATATATCTTTGTATATACACTTATCCATATTAAATTTCAACTCAACAGCTGTTTACCAAGCAACTGCTATGTAAAAGTACTGCATTGTGCATTGCTGATACAGATGTGGATATCTCTAATCTTGAAGGAGCTCGACATTTAACGATGCATTTATCCTTTTACATGAATGACCATGACACAATATGGAAACTACTACCAGCGATAGATTTGCAAAGTATTGTGATCACAAAGATGCCAACTTGTTTGGTTCTACCAAGGGGCTCAAAAAAAAAAAAAAGCTCTAGATGTTTGGTTGTTTTTCCTTCAGTTCCAGAAGTAAGGAGGAGAGAATTTAAGGCAAATATGAACGAGAGGTAGAATGATAGGAAGTTCTTTCATGTGGTTATGGAATTAACTGGGTAGGGATAGAAGGTTATTAGAGAGCAAACAAATCTCAGAGTATGCTCTAAAGGAGTTTCAGTTGAATGGGTTGGTGATACTGTGTTTTTAAAGATGAAAGTTAAAGCAATAGACCTTTTGAAATAAAACATATAAGTGTATTTTTGGTTTATTTCCTAAAAACTTAGGAAATGTTTTCTAGGGTCATTCAGCAAATCTGTATGCTATAATTTGAATGTGTTCCCCAAAGTTCAGGTATTGGAAGCTTAGTCCCCAATTCAACAACGTTGAAAGGTGGGACCTTTAAAAGGTGATTAGATAATAATTTCTCTTCCCTCATGAATGGATTAATGTCTTTACCATGAGAGTAGGTTAGTGTATTAGGCTGTCCTTGCATTGCCATAAAGAAATACCTGAGACTCGGTAATTCATAAAAAAAAAATAGATTTAATTGGCTCATGGTTCTGAAGGCTTTATAGGAAGCCTGCTGCTGGCATCTACTCAGCTTCTGGGGAGGCCACAGAAAGCTTAGAATCACGGCAAAAGGTGAAAAGGGAGCAGGCACATCACATAATGAAAGCAGGAGCAAGAGAAAGTTGTTGGGGTGGGAAGTCTGCAAAAATGCCACACACATTTAAACAACCAGATCTTGCGGGAACTCACTCACTATTGCAAAGACAGTACCAAGCCATTAAGGATCCCACCTCCATGACTCAAACACCACCTCCCACCAAACATCACCTCCAGAACTGGTGATGACAATTCAACATGAGACTAGGGTGAGAACAAATATACAAACTATATCATCTAGCTATTATGAGAGTGGTTTCCTGACAAAAGGATGAATTCAGCCCCATTACACACACACTCTCTCTCTGTTTCTCTGTCTCTCTCTCTTCCTCTCTCTCTTGCATGTCCCTGTTTGCTGACCCCCATGGGATGACTCAGCAAAAAGGCCCATACAAGATGCAGGCCCCTTGACCTTGGACTTCTCATCCTCCAGAACTATGAGAAGCAAACTAATTTTATTTATATATTATCCAGTCACTAGTATTCGGTTATAGCAACAAAAATGAACTAAGAACTCTGCTAGCTTCCTGCCAGGTGCTAGGTTGACTCTTCATAAATATACCTTCGTTTTTCTTTTTCTTTTTTTTTTTTTTTGGAGACAGAGTCTCATTCTGTTACCCAGGTTCGAGTGCAGTGGTGTGATCTCGGCTCGCTGCAACCACCGCCTTCTGGGTTCAAGCGATTCTCCAGCCTCAGCCTCCTGAATAGCTGGGACTACAGGGGCATGCCACCACACCCAGATAATTTTTGTATTTTTAGTAGGGAAGGGGTTTCACCATGTTGACCAGGCTGGTTTCTAACTCCTGGCCTCAGGTGATCCACCCGCCTCAGCCTCCCAAAGTGCTAGGATTACAGGTACGAGCCACCGTGCCCAGCCATAGTTTTATTTATAAACTGACATCACCAATGTATAAAGTAGAAAAGGAAAATGTTGAATTCATAATGAAGGGCTTGTAATGGGTACTATAATGATATGCTTTTGAATTACCCTATTTGTTGACTTTATATGTTTATGATACAAAGCTCCCGCTTTGCCTTATTTCCTGCTGTGAAATTCAAACTTATTTGCAGAAAAAATAAAGAAAAAAATTTCCCAAGAATATTAATGTATTCAGTAAAAGCCTGAGCATTTCCTATGAAGTACACAATTATTCCTAGAACAGAATCTTGACCAGAGAGCTCTCCTCGAATTTTGCAGGAGTCTTCCTCTCATTTGGACATCAGCTTTCCTGCCGTCTTTGGCCTTGGCACATGTGGGAGTGTGTGTATGTGCAGGGAAACTGTGTCATTCAGTGCCATTCCCAAAGACTTCCAAAGACCCAACAGAGATTTCAAATAGTTCTTTTTGTCTAGTTCTGTTATGAACATGGAATTTTGAATCTGCAGAAAGCAAATTTGAGACTCATTTAAAATTTAATAAATAACCATAATATATTAAAAGTCAAATTATAATAGTGTGATGTTATTGAATTAGGGCAAATACATGACACTGTGAAATCCTTAATAAATTATGCATGAGGCATTCTGAATTGTTTACCTCAATTTGGACAATTTTAGAGATTAAAGAGTACTGTGTAATTTAGTTTGTAGTTTTAGGGCATAATGGGGAGAAGAGAAACATAGCTTGTATTTGTTCCAGCTTATTTTTGTATTAGTGTCTTACTTCACAATTGTGTTTGAAAACATTTATTTATTTACTTTACATTAATATTGCTTATCGTTCAATGTTTTCAGAAGTAAATCAACTTCAATAGAAGTTAAAAATGAAAGCTTCTTTTGGAAATAAATGTGGTTACTCTCACAAATCTTATCTATCTCTTGACTCTTTGTAAGACAATTGTCTACTCATACATTTATTTTCAAAATCATCTACTTCAAGCTTTAACATCAGAGCAAAATGTTTCTTGCTCATGAAACAATGAGAAATAGTAGAGTGTGTGTGTGTGTGTGTGTGTGTGTGTGTGTGTGCGAATTTTCCCTGGAGGAAGAGTTGGATGTCTAAAATAGGCAAAATAAAACACAATAAGGTAAATGTTTTCATAGAGATACTTAATTATTTGATGGGTCTTTGCTGCATATGAGGAAAGTAAGCATCAGGGTAGAGAAATATGAACTCCCTCTGCTAAAAAGAACAGAATTGCTGGTGGGAACCTGGGAGCAGCTTAGGCATAGGGACTCAGAATTGGAAGCACAGAGATACCGTAAACAATTGCCTCAAGAAAATATATTTTCTCTTTCGTCAACTTGACTTGGTGGTAAGTTAAGATGTAAGTATCAACCCAATTTTTCAGTCCATCTGCATTCTAATATATATGTTCATGCACCAGTGAATCAGAATTACTCTTGTTCACGTTCAGAGCTGAGATGTGTCCCAGCTTTGTGTTCTGATTCACCAGGTATTAGCACTTCTCTGTCAGCAATATCAGTGTGCTTCTCTGAGGGGTGTACTGCACCAGGAGTTTTGCCCTGGTCCTCTCCTAAGGAGAGAACATAGTTTTATGGTACAAAATTATCTCAAGAGGGCTGGTAATTGTAGTCTTCCTGTGTGCATAGGAAACGGGGAAAAAAACACAAAATGATAAATAGTATCAATCTCTGCCATACCCAGTCCCTTCAGTTTGAAGCTTTGATGCCTCATTTGGCAGAGCCAATATTGTATGCCCATCAAATTATTTCCTTTTTGTCCTTAACAAATAAGAAGACTACATTTCTCAGAACTCTTACATTTTCTTGGGATAATATGATGAAGTCTGGCCAATGAACATGGACAGGCATCATGTACACCACAAAACTCTCCAGAGAGATCACTGATATCTCTCTCTCTCTCCCCCAACTCCCTGAGTTACGGTAAAGGCAGTCTGAAGATTTAAGCCACTATAAGTAAATTTCTCAAGGCTCTTTCTAAAATGCTACAGATGGCCCTTCATAGTGAGTGGATTTGGCATTGAAAACAGAGAAAGGCAAAACTTCGCTAAGCACACATCCAGTGATGTAAATTCATCACAGTCTACTGATAATCTAAGAAACAACAGCAACAACAACTCATCCTCGTGTCCTCATTCATTCCTGTGTTCATTGCAACTGATACAATCCATGATACCTTTTAGGCTCTGGGTAAATATTTTGGTGAAAGGCAAAGGCAGTCTAGATAGAAAAAAATAAAAGGCTCACTCTTGAGCAGATGTTATTTTGGAGGATAAAAAAAAGTAGAGAGATATCATCTCTGTATTTTTACAAAGGTTTTTTTTTTAAAAAACAAAGGTTATTTCTGCCTTTCCTATTTGTGAGTCAGCAAGAGTTGGTTGGTCTAGTTGAACACGTCTCCAGGCTGTGAATTAGAACCACGTCTGGCCCACTTCTCTTATTCTTCTGGGCTGAAGGGAAAATGTTGCATAACTTTTTCATGGCAGTGACAGAAGTAAAAAGCAGCAGGTGAAATCTCACAAACACATTTTAAGCCCCCACTTGCATCATGTTTGCAATGACACATTGGCCAAGTTCAAAGCCATAGACAAAAGAAGTAGCCTTCACCTGCTACCAGACCATGGCAAGGAGGTGGATGTATAATGCTTCATGTTATAGGAGAGTTAAGAATGGTGACTAGGCCAGGCGCGGTGGCTCATGCCAGTAATCCCAGCACTTTCAGAGGCCGAGGCAGGTGGATCATGAGGTTAGGAGATCGAGACCATCCTGGCCAACATGGTAAAACCCTGTCTCTACTAAAAATACAAAAAAAAAAAAAATTAGCTGGGCATGGTGGTGGGCGCCTGTAGTCCCAGCTACTTGGGAGGCTGAGGCAGGAGAATCGCTTGAACCCAGGAGGCGGAGGTTGCAGTGAGCTGAGATCGCACCACTGCACTCCAGCCTGGGTGACAGAGTGAGGTTCTGTCCCAAAAAAAAAAAAAAAGAAAGAAAAAGGAAAAGGATGATGATCAATAAGTTAATCTACAGTATGTATTGAGAACTTAATTTATAAAACAAAATATCAAAGAATGGAAGGTATTGGGAAATAGAATAAGACAGTAATAAGAAAAAAAAAACAAAAAAAGAATCAGATGGTGAAATGTGGCTTCACTCTTTATTATCTTTGTTTTCTCAGAAAATTTATTTAACTCAATTTCTTCACTTAAACAATAAAAGACTTAATAATCTAGACTTAAAAAAATAGTTTTAACACTTAAAGTTCCTGACACATAGCAGAGGTTTGATAGTTGTTAGTTCCCCAAACATAGCACTGAGAAGCAAATCTATATTTGACTCCAAATTTCAGTCTTTTAACCAGGATGCAAAATTCATGCACTTGATGAGCCCATCATTATTGATAGGGCCAGCCTCATTCATGTTTTTTTTTTTTTTTTTTTTTTTTTGAGACAGATCTCACTCTGTCGCCCAGGCTGGAGTGCAGTGGTGTGATCTCGGCTCGCTGCAACCTCCCCATCCCTGGTTCAAGCAATTCTCCTGCTTTGGTCTCCCAAGTAGCTGGGATTACAGGCACCCACCACCACGCCCAGCTAATTTTTGTATTTTTAGTAGAGATGGGGTTTCATTATGTTGGCCAGGCTGGTCTCAAATTTCTGACCTCAGGTGATCAGCCCACCTCGGCCTCCCAATGTGCTGAGATTACAGGCATGAGCCACCGCGCCTGCCCCAGCCTCATTCTTGTAATGGATATGTTTATCAATGTAATAAAATGTCAGTGGTTTAATACAAAATTTAAAAAATCCTGTGGTGGTGCATTCTACTTCTGCACTCATTTTCAAACCCATTTTCAGCACGTAGATTGTGCCATTTTCAGCACAAAGCTCAATCTCAGTTTTATGGTACAAAACTATCTCAAGGAGGCTGTTAAGTGTAGTCTACCTGTGTGCTTAGGGAGGAGGAGAAAAACACGCATATGGATAAGTAGTAGCAGTCTCTGCAATACCCAGTCCCTTCCATTTGAAGCTTTGGTGATACCCTAGACTCCTCATTTGGCAGAGCCAATACTGTACGCTCATCAAATTATTTCCTTTTGTCCTCAACAAATAGGAAGACAACATTTGCCAGAACTCTTGCATTTTCATGGGATAGTATGAGGAGGTCTGGCCAATGTGCATGGACAGGCAGGATGCACACCACAGAACTCTCCAGGAAATTCACTGATCCTTCTCTTTCAGCTCTTTGGCTGGTTGGATGCAGAACCCTGGGGAGGATTTTAACAAGACACAAGATAGGGGTGATGTTACAAAGCAGAAGGGCTCAGGATCTCTAAATAACTACGTGGAAGACCACTCACCAAATATTCAATAAGACAGGCTGTGTCAGGGACATCAAATACATTTTTATTTTTTAAAATCATTGATGTATGTGTGTTTGTTACAGTAGCTAGTATTAAGACAATAGAGAAAGCTACCTTGAACTAGAAGGTGGCAAAAACAAAATTCTAACAGTTTCAGTCTCAGCAGTCACCACAGTAGACAGAAAGGACACTAACATCAGAGGCTGGGAAAATGTCAATGCATGATATAAACTAGCAAAATATTTGGTAAGCACGTAGGCCCTGTTAACTTGAGAATCATACCATGTAACTGTTGAGCTTGTGGTTGAAAAACAGAATATTCATGGTCAACATAGGGGGAAAAAAAAGCAAAAACAAAAACCAGGTAATTTGTAAGCTGATGCAAAGCTAAGTAAAGAAAATCCAGACACTCAGGACCTTGTTGAATTAGAAAACCTGACTGTTTCTAGAATCAAAGAGATGGTATCTTCAAAGGACATGAGTGATGTGTGAGTGAGAAAACTCTGGCAAAACTTCTCTGTTAAACAAAGTGACTCAGGGCATGGATGTGATTGAAGTGTGACCTTCTCACGTGCTCCTCCTGGTGTTCTCAAGGTTACTGCCATTAATTTGAGAGAAAGCAAGATGTAAAAAAATATAAAACAAAACAAATAGCCAAGTTTGGGAACTATGCCCAAGAATCATGCCCACTTTGATTGTGGTTAACTAAGCATTGGACTGATGGCTAGCAAGGGGATCACAAACATACCATGTGTTGGAAAGACCTGTGTTTTCAAACAAAACACAAGCAAGGACTTAAAATGCTTTTGATTTTCCAAATGGTAAAATAATTTCAGATTGCAAACCTCCCAGAAGCAGAAGGCAGACTCCAGAGACTATGTTTCCCAAAGAAGGCATATTCCTTAAAATCCATTTCAGACATGGCCAACAAAGAAAATGTATTCCCAGAGCTAAGAACCAAATGGAACAATAGACAGACCGTTTTTCTTTGAGAAAGACCAGAGTCTAATGAATGAATTTCCCCAGGGCACAGGAAAACTGTACCATTCCATTGTCTTTCCACAAGGTACTTTAGAGATTCCACGGAACATCAAGTACTATATATATCAACTACATCAACTACTATATGTTTCCTATTTTCCCTAATTTGAACGCAAGTGCCAACTATGGGGTTCCTTTTGGGGTTCTGCCATCATGTATCAAGTAGCAGTCTGGAGGCGAACAACTTGTATTATTCTGTTCATAGGTTGAGAACCAGGAAAGTCATATCCAAATCTGATACAGGGCACTGCATTTCACCAGGAGATCCTGTACTTATGATTGGATGAATTCACTGAATGAGATTTGAGGTTGTAACTCTTGAAGAGGAAGTAAAGAGTTCTATAGGAGGGAGGAAAATGAAACAGAAGGATAGATCATATAATTTCTTTCTTCCGTGTTCCCCTCATGCTATTTTCTTCACGAGAAAACCTTCTTCCCCAAATTTCTGACCAAACCCCTCTAAGTTTTTTCAGTTAAGACTAAATAACCATCCCTTCCATAGAGCATTTTCCCCTACAACAGGAAAATGTTATCTGTCCTTCCACTAGAAGCCCACGACAGTCTATCTGTATCTTTTTACAGCTCATTGACATCAAGATTAACTAGCAAGAAGTGGTGTGGTTTAGGCCTTATTCTCTCACTTGTCTGAACTTCAGTTTCCCCAACTATATAACATGAATATAAACATGAAGATAATGGGAATATAGTGAGAATTAAATGAAATATTATGAAATTATTCAAAGGAAGACACCCAGTTACTATGTTTCACCCCATCCACTGCTTTTCAAGACAGAAAGATCTCTAAGATTTTTTAAGAGGCGTAGCACATATTAGCTCTCAATAATATTGTTTTAAGAAAATTAGGCTGGGTGCGGTGGCTCACGCCTGTAATTCCAGCACTTTGGGAGGCCGAGGCAGGAGGATCACGAGGTCAGGAGTTCGAGACCAGCCTGGCCAACATGGTGAAACCCTGACTGTACTAAAAATACGAAAAATTAGCTGGGCGTGGTGGCATGTGCCTAAAATCCCAGCTACTTCAGAGGCTGAGGCAGGAGAATCACTTGAACCTGAGAGGCGGAGGTTGCAGTGAGCCGAGATCATGCCATTGCACTCCAGCCTGGGTGACAGAGCAAGACTCCATCTCAAAAAGAAAAAGAAAAAGAAATTTAATTAAAATGTCTTCACTAAAATATATTTTGAACTATGGTTCAGACTTAATAGTCTTTTATAGCATTTCTCAGGTAAACAGTCCTTTGGTCTCCTGAGCACAGCTGAGACTGTCTCAGGTGCCCCAGGCTTAATGAGAAACTCTATCCCCCTCCTGCATATATGGTGTGATGTCCTCTCATGATGTTTAACAAGACAAAATAAATCACAGAAAAAACTGCTGAAGTTTCAGGGAAATGTTAAAACAAAGAAAAAAGAGAACAAAATAATTTATTTCCTCTGTGTGTGTGTGTATGTGTGTGTGTGTTTTCTAGCAGTTCCCTTTACTTATTTTTAAAGGTTATCACCTGCTTCTCTCTGGCTAAAAATAAATTAATGAAAATTTTTTCCAGAAGGCTTTTCTTTGAAAACTCTAAAACTGCAGTGAATGATGCCTAGACTGAGGGTTTTGAAGCTGAATAACAACCAGAGAAAGGTAAGACTGGGTGAGGAATGAGGAGGAGAAGGACATCATGTCTATCTTGGTAGCAAAGTCACATTCTTATCACAGCCCTGACAGCTGCTCTGATTGACACATAGATGACAATGAAGCTGTGATTAAACTCATTGTTTTTGGTTTGGTTTTTATTCTCATCATTTTTTTATATACCCAGATGTTTGGCATCTTGGAATGAAAGCAGACAACTCAATTTTTATGGATGCATGTATAGAAATATACATGCAGGCATTAAAGAGATTTCTCCCATACCCTGTGGAATGGCACAGTCATGGAGATGTCAGGGGGGCCACTTCTGGTGTACTGCAATCTCCTGTCCACCTCCACCTGGGCCTCCAACCCAACACACACACACACGCACACACACACAAATCAGAACATTTCTCTACATTTATGCCTCGCAACTTGTGTCTGTAACAGTAGAGCAGGAGAGATTTTGTAGTGAGATGGATTCAGAAATAAAATGGAGGCAGATTAGGATAGTGTAACCTCAGTTTTCTATCACATTCTGGTGACCTGGGTAACATGGACCAGCCAGTGGAAGTCAGAAGCTATTGCAAATATTCAAGAGATATTTTCAGAGGCTCTAGGCATTTGCTAAATTGTTCACGCCAGGAGGATCAAATGAGGCATTTAGTAAACCAGAAAATAGTTCTCCATCCTTCAGCAGGGAATTCAGACAGGGGTTGCAACCCTGTAGAAAGGAAACTTAGGAGCAGGCACGTACCAGTCCAGGCAGTGGGAGTGGTCTGTCCTGAGGGGCTGGCCATGGGTTGTTCATTGTCTGCGGAAATGTAGAAACAATGACACTGACCCAGTGTCAGTCTGTTCATTACAATTACAGTGTATCAGACTTTCTAAACACCATCAGTGATAAAGCACTCTCAAAACAAAACAAAACAAAACAAAAATAAAACTACATATTTTCTTCAAATTTTACACAACTGCTGCTGCTGTTGTTGCTTTGGAAGTACACATACACAGTCACAACACAGATTTGCTTCAAATTAGTGCATTTTTCAAATTACTTTTCTTTAAATAAACATGATATTCTCTAAGGAGGTTAAATTCTTAGACATCTTGGAGAGTCAGGTCCTGATATACATGGACTGAGATACACATAAGGGATTCAAGAGTGAGTTTGTGAAGATTCAAAATCATTGAGCTTGCTCTGGGCGTACTTCATGTTCCATCCCATGTGTCACATGACAGCAGAGGATTCAAGGTGAAGTTAATAGCACAGAGATTGCAAAGAAAAAGACAAAGAAATGAGATAATGAGAAATGCTATCTTTTTTTTTTTTTTTTTTTTTTTTTTGTGACAGAGCCTCGCTCTGTTGCCCAGACTGGATGCAACCTTGGCTCACTGCAACCTCTGCCTCCAGGGTTCAAGCGAATCTCCTGCCTCAGCCTCCCGAGTAGCTGGGATCACAGGTGCGCACCACCACACCTGGCTAATTTTGTATTTTCTAGTAGAGATGGGGTTTCACCATGTTGATCAGACTGGTCTCAAACTCCTGACTTCAGGTGATCCGCCTGCCTCAGCCTCCCAAAGTGCTGGGATTACAGGCGTGAGCCACCACGCCTGCCCTAATGCTGTCCTTCTTAGTGACCACTTGCCTGTTTCATTTATGCTTAACGTTCACTACAGTGAAGCACCGTGTGAATTGTGAGGTGCAAGATTTCTGTTTGGTGGATGCAGATTTTAGTTCATATGTAAAATATTTAATTAAATTTAATAACATTTGAAAATTGAATTTTGATCTTTATGGTTAATTATTTTAGAACTAAGGAAAAATACAGAAAATAGTGATTATAATGAAAAGCAAGTTTGCCAGAAAGAACCAGGCTGTGCAAATGCCTTCTGGACTCCATGGCTTGGGAACACCAGAGCTGGTTTCATTGGCTTAGTCATAGAGCTGTCTAAGCAGATAGAAGCAGTGAGGCTTGCCCACTCAACTCGATGAGTGGGAGAAAAGAAGTGGGAGGCAGGGCAGGAGAGGAGAAGTAGGGGGATTGTTGGGTGGTGCCTGCAGGTGGGAGCCAGGTTTGTGAAAGCCATGACTCCTTTGGCTATTCCACAAAATAACTAAAGAGTTCTTTGAGAAGTGCTTTAAGTCCCAATCTTCCAGTGATGGGCTGCCAGGCAATGGGTTTAGATCCATCAACCTCCTCATTTATAAAAACCATAGCCTTCATGTGTCTGGACTTTCTCTCTTTCTAGTACTCAACCATACATTATCTCACAGGCACTTACAGCAAGTTGATCAGGCTCCAAGAACCCAAACTTCTGAGAGCAAATAAGGCCTTGAAAAACATTATTTCAATAAACGTAGCTAATATATATTGAGAAATACTCTATTTCAGGTGGATAATCTTCTAATTTAAAAAGTGAAAAAACCTGAAATACAGAAAATTTAAATAATTTGTCAAGGATGTATAAAGTTATTCATGTAGGAAGCAGCTGTGTAGGATTTTATCTCAGGGACCCATTCAAGGATGTGTTCTCTTAAACAAGTAATCTTTTTGATTATTGATATGATTTGGCTGTGTCCCTACCCAAATCTTATCTTGAATTGTAGCTCCCATAATTCCCATGTGTTGTAGGAGGGACCCTGAATCAGGGGGTGGGTTTTTCCCATGCTGTTCTCGTGATGGTGAATAAGTCTCATGAGAACTGATGGTTTAATAAAAGGGACGTTCCCCTGCACATGCTCTCTCTTGCCTGCCACCATGTAAGATGTGACTTTGCTGCTCATTCACCTTCAGCAATGACTGTGAGGCCTCCTCAGCCGTGTGGAACTGTGAGGCAATTAAACCTCTTTCCTTTATAAAATAACCACTCTCAGATATATCTTTATTAGCAGCGTGAGAACAGATGAATACAACTATCATAAAAGTGCTGCTTTTAAAAATATTTCCCCCCATGTCTTTCCCATTTAAGATTTACATTTTATTAATGCACCTCTAATATCTTTCCCAACACTACATTGGTGCATCTGCATTCCATAACCTTTTGTTCAAGTAAGGTCATAGCATCTCCTTAGTCCCAATGTACATGGCTATGTAGTATACTAGGCTAGATAGTACCAGTCCTAGTCATAACAATCCACAATTCAGATCACTTCATTTAGTAGTCATAGTCTTCTCAGGGCTGGAAACACAGAAACACTCAACATGGCACTCAAGTATCATAGTTTTTGATTGATTGATTTTCTACTCTATCTAAGACAAACCAAGGGAAGTAACAGCTTACTGCCTCCTCCAATCCAAGAAAATGTTGCAAGCAACGTAGTGAACTTGATAAAAATATAGGTATTTGCTTCTCTTTACCTTCCAGATTCTCATACGTCAATGTTAATTCCTGGGTCCCATCCCATGCCTCAGAGCTCTCTTTGTTGTATAACTTTTTAAAATTTTGTTTACTAAATTTGCTTATTTAAGTTTGTTCTCTTTCTCTTAAACATAAGTATAATATTTACATTTTACTATCCCATTATTCTACATTTGAAATTTTTCAATATATACCAAAATCCTAATGTTTTCCATATTTCTCTCTCCTGATCTTACCTGACAACCCCCGTAGTAGTCAGGGTAGGCCAGTTTATGCTGCAGCAACAAATAACCCTAACCCCTCAACCCAGTGACTGATGAAAACAAAATTCCTTTATTTTCACCCCCAGGCCAACAGGGACATCCTCTTACTCTAGTTATTTATGACTCCAGCAGATGGAAGCGTCATTCAAAAATGTAAGAAGCAAACAAGGTGAAGAGGGAAAGATACATTATTCACTGACTGTCAAACCTTCATTACTGAAGTGACTGATACAAGTTCTCTTCATTTTTATTGGTCAAATTAAGTGACATGATTGTGCCTGATTTCAGTAGGAGCGAGAAAGAACAACCTATACTGTATTCCATTGTGAACAGCCCTCACTGCTGGGATAATCACCACGTGATTATAAACCAATGATAGAAAGGTAAAGTGACACATCACTCAACTTTAGTTAAAGCCTTCCAGTAACCTAAATTCAAAGAAAAACAATAGAAACATAAACTTCAAAATAAACATCCCAATTATTTCTGTAATATTATATCCCAAAGTGGCAAACCTTTTTGGATTTATAGTTTGCATCGTCCATTTGATATTCTAGGAATTATAATAATATTTTAAAACTATATAATGCTTTACCTGCTTCTCAAATTTTCAGGTTTCTGCTCTTTGATACCAATATTACACAGCTCATAACACACCTTATTGGTAGTCAGGATTACACATACAAGGTCCAGGCTGTGTAGTAAATCAGGTGTGATATCTGCCCTCTCCTTAATTAAGTTTTCTAGTTTTTACTCTATTAAAGCATCATCAGACTATGGCTTCTGAGGTTTGAGAATCTGCTGACACTGCATTGCTGAGGGAAGCAGGTGATACTAATGGAATAAAGACGGGGAGGGGAGGAAGACTGTTATGTAGAGGGAGAGGCCTTGATGATCGAGATTGCATTAACACAAAGGGGATGGGAGAGGATATGGTGGATGGTGTAACCTTCAGAAATACAGAGCAGGTGGTTCCAGGAAGGAAGAGCAATCATTGTAATATGGGTGTTTCCATGTACACCTGGAGATAAAGCAAGGGAGGTGGGGGAGCACAGGCACAGGTTCCTCTGTAGGCACTCACGTTTTTTTCTAAGCAAGGAGGTAAGAAGACCATATATGGCGAAGAGCAGGAAGATGTAGGCAAGGTCCTTGCCCTCTTATCATCACTTTTTGCATCTGTGAAACCGGAATCTAGGACCCCTTTCCTTCCTCCTTCCTTCCCTCCTTTCTCTCTTCTTTCCTTCCTTCCTTTAGTTCAATGAATATTTTGAAAATCTTGTATTTACCAGGTTCTATTTTGGGGACTTAGGTCCAGCAATGAACTCAACAGACCATGTACTTGCTTTCTTGGGATGGAGATACACACACACACACACAAACACACACACACCCTGATACGGTTTGGCTGTGTCCCCATCCAAATCTCATCTTGAATTGTAGTTCCCACAATTCCCACGTGTTGTGGGAGGGACTCAGTGATCTGATGGTTTTATAAGAGGAAACCCCTTTTTTCTCATTCTGTCTTGCCTGATGCCATGTAAGACGTGCCTTTTGCCTTCCACTATGACTGTGAGGCCTCCCCAGCCCCATGGAAATGTGAGCTCTTGAAACCTCTTTTTCTTTATAAAACACCCAGTCTCAGGTATGTCTTTATCAACAGCTTGAAAACAGACTAACACACCCCAATACATATATGTTGTAGTCTCATTTATCAATTGTGAAGAAAAGAACAGGATAAAAGGACATAGATGATGGGGATGGGAGTTGTCTCTGGAGTTGGCAGGTCAGCGGACACCTCAATGAAGTTAAAAGCAGCTGTCATATAGACATCCGGGGGAAGAGTGTTTCAGGCAGAGCAGGCATCATGGAGAAAAGTGGGGATGTGCTCTCTGTATTCAAGGAAGAATAACAGGCCAAGGATATCTACAGCGAAAGAAGCAAGGAAGTCATAAAAAAAAAAAAGGGTATGAGTGGCAAGGCCATGCAGAGCACATTAGGAATCTTGGAGTTTGTTCCCACTGTAATGAGAAGACTTTGGAGAGCTTTGAACAGAAGAATAATATTATTTTCAATTACAAAGATGAAACTGAATGTTGTGTTGACAGAGGTCACCAAGAAGAATTAGACAATTCTGAAAAATCTTCAACACATATATAAGTACCCAGTGAACTTTTGGTGAAAAATAAATAAATGAATTGTTTATTCCCTTTATTCTAGCCACTTAAAGTTGAAAAAATTATGTAGGAGCCTGATGCATATTTGCTGTGTGTGCACACAAATGAGTAGGCAACACTTGTCACTATCTGGCTCCCAGCATCTAGTGCCAGGTTCTCTATTCAAGATGAGCCATCTGGAGGGAGGACAGACATGTGACTCGGGTGGGGGCAATTGAAGTCCCCTCTTATTTCTTTGAGTCAGTAACACAGTGGCAGTGGCATGTAGCCCAGTCCAATCCAAAGATGTGACCTCTGCCAGCTTTCAAAGAACCTCGTCCCCTGTTGGCAATTTGCTGGGGCCTCCAGTTTTCAGTCCACACTATGAGTTTCCAAAAGCATTTTAACAAATGTCCATCACGCTTAAGATAATGTTGTGGACACTGTTATTGCCATAGCTATTTCCCTTCCTGTCCCTTTTACCAGATCTGTACGTTCATCCCTCTGCTTCTGCATGAAGTGATACTGATTAGACCTGACATATTCAAAAAGGTATCTTGGACACTGGAGCCGCATATCAGCTGGTAGGAAGATCCCAAGGTCTGTGAGTTGAGAGTTTTACCTATATCCCTACCCTACCCCAATCATACACAGAGCCTACTGTTAATTCTTAATAACCAACTCATATAACTAATGTGGAAGCCCAGACGCCCAGCTCCTTTTGCTTGACGCAGGACTAACTGAGGTGTCTGGCACACTGAAAGCTTCCTTCACAATCAGGCTGAACCTGGAGCTTCTCCTGAAATTACAGCCGTGTTTGTCTCTTTTCCATTCCCTTTCATGCTTCAACCACCCCTTTCTGTTTTCCCTTGGTCAGATTTAGAAAAATATATATATATAAGACACCCGGCAGAATTTGAATTTTAGTTAAATAACAATTGTTGCTTTTGTTGCTGTAGTTCTTGTTTTTGTTTTGATTTTTTTCAGTACAAGTATATCTGATGCAGTATTTGTGATACAGTTATACTGAAATATTATTTGTTGCTTATATAAAATTGAAATTTAACCAGATATTCAATATTTTATGTGGTATCCCTAGCTGGAAAGTCTTCCACCCAAAAATCACCTGCACCCTTATTCTTTGCTCAGGGAAAACTGTTTCAAAACAGGGAGCTGGCGTCCGTTTCTGTTGTCTACAACCAGTAAAACTGAGGAAGGCAGATGTATTCTGTTTCCAGAGTTATACCATAAGGATAATATATAACCTTTATAGTCTTGTAACAACCTACTATAAAAGTAGATATTGTGTTGGATATTATTTATTGGCTCCTCCAAATCCATCTTCTACCATTTTCCACCTTTGTCTATGCCTTAAGGGCTGAATGGCTGAACTTTGTATCAGGAATAACCTGTCCTATCCTGCCCTGTGACCTCTGGGGTTTTGGGGGTAGGAACCACAGAAAACCCCCACAGGAAGTCTGAGTATGGCAGGCAGAAGATACATGTTTTGGTGTTCATGTACCTGATCTTTTCCCTATCAGGCCAAGGGTTTAAGCAGCTATACTTCTCCACTTAAGGCCCCAGATCCTGTCTGTGGCCTCATCTCCTGCTCTCTTCTCTGTTGATTTTAGTGACTTCGCACTCCTCTTGAGCTCTCAAGCCTAGGGGTAATAACCCTCTTTATTTTGTCTAGCCCAAGGATGCTTCACCACCCCTTATAAATTTCCCTTACCTTGGCCCACACCTTTGTAAATATTCCTACATTAATAATCATTCTTCAATCAACACTTTGCCATATTTCTGCCAGGGCCCAACTATTCCAAATATTAAAGCATTAAAAACAAACAAACAAACCCACCGAAAGTAGTAGTAGAAATTATTCTTATCTTATTGTAATAATATTTTTATTAATAATATCTGGGATATTACTAATATCCCAAATTTAATTTATTTAATAACTTAATACATGATGATGTGATAATTTATTTATTTATTTAATTATTTTCTTTTAAGACAGAATCTTGCTCTGTCACCCAGGATGGAGTTCAGTGGCATGATCTTGGCTCATTGCAGCCTTCGCCTCCCAGGTTCAAGCAATTCTTGTGCCTCAGCCTCCTCAGGAGCTGGGATTACAGTCATGCATCACTACACCTGGCTAATTTTTGTATTTTTAGTACAGATGGGATTTCACCATGTTTCCAAGGCTGGTCTTGAACTCCTGACCTCAAGTGATCCACCCACCTTGGCCTTCCAATGTGCTAGGAGCCGCTGTGCCTAGCCTGATAAGTTAATTTAATTAATCTATTATTAATTTATTCATTTAATGTAGATATTATTTTACTTTTAAGCCAATGTTTCCAATTTATGTATAATATTTATATTGCTTTAATAGCAATATTGGAAACCTAAAATATGAAGTTTATTTAACAATTAGAGGAGTTATTTTAAATGTTGCCCTTCATCGATGGTCAGAACATGGACTTTGATGCCAGATAAACATGTGTTTGTTTCTTGGACCAAATTCATAATAGGCATAAAACCTTAGTTACTTTATATTTACAGATTTCAATTTTGATACCCACTAACTTAGAATAATTGAACTTACTTTGTGGACAGTAAGTTGTGAAGAAGAAACTAAAAATGTATGTAAAGTTCCCAGCACAATCTGGTATTTGTGTTATAGACAGAATAATTGGCGGCCATTTGTATCCACTTACATATTATTGGATTTAACCTGAAATTTTCTCTAGTTTTGTGATAGTAGTAATTGCAAAATTTTTTAAGAATTATAAGCACTCTATATGCAATGTATGACCCCATAAATGTAGGCAATCATTATCATGAGAGAGAGAAGAGATGGAAGCCAGACCAGGTACAAGAAAATGGTTTCTAGTCTTTCTCCAGGAGTGTAATAAATTATGAGATCAACTACAACAAAAAATAATATTCTTGTGGGAGTTTACAAAAGGTTAATATTTCTAAGTAAAGAAAGTTTTTGTGGCATTTCACCAGTAATGACCTTAATCTTCCTGATTGCTAAGACCCTTGCTCTCTTCCCCAACTGAATCCTAATATGTCTTCTTATTCTAATAGGATTAAGCCTGGAATAATTCTGAGGCCTGTACCTGAATGAGGCACACATGTTACCTGCATCCATGTTCCTGGATGTGGGGTGCAGTGGCTCATGCCTGTAATCCCAGCACTTTGAGAGGCCGAGACAGGTGGATCACTTGAGGCCAGGAGTTCCAAAACAGCCTGGCCAACATGGCAAAACCCTGTCTCTACTAAAAATACAAAAATTAGCTGGGCATGGTGGCAGACACCTGTAATCCCAGCTACTCAAGAGGCCAAGGTAAGAGAATTGCTCGAACCCAGGAGGTAAAGGCTGCAGTGAGTCAACATTGTACCACTGCCCTCCAGCCAGGGTGACAGAGTGATACTCTCTCAAAATACATATACATATATATATATATATATATATATATATTCTACATCAAACATATATACATATATGTGTATATATATAAGGAGTATATATATATGGAGTGTATATATATACACATATATGTATATATATAAAGAGTATATATGGAGTGTATATATGAGTGTATATATATATGGAGTGTATATATATATATATATATAAGGAGTATATACATATATAAGGTGTATATATAAGGAGTATATATATGTGTATATATATAAGGAGTATATATATGTGTATATATATAAGGAGTATATATATGTGTATATATATAAGGAGTGTATATATATATGTGTGTGTGTGTGTATATATATATATATAAGGACCAGGGATTCCTGAGCCAGGAAGCAAGGATGCAGTTCTGTTTTAAAGTCATGATTTTATTACATCAAAGGCAAGCATGTTCTGGGGTTAGAATCCAGGACAAAGGATGTATTTATCCTTTTTCACTTCTCTGTGCTCACATTATCCTTCTAATATTGTGTTAACCCTTTAGTCATACAGATTAAGAGAGAAATATAATTGTCACATATACCTCCTCCGTCATAATATGCTTTCTTAGCTCTGTTGCCTTGAAAATGATGTTCAAGCAATCCACCATGGCACACATTTACCTATGTAGCAAACCTGCACATCCTGAGCATGTACACCAGAACTTAAAATTAAAATTAAAATAATTTAATAAATAAATAAAGATGATATTCAGACTCATTTTCATGACAAGCATAGAGCACCTTTGATGTAGAATTCCTGTCTACCTCTCCTGCTCCCTTTTTAAAATCAATATCCCAAATGTCTTCATACCAACCTGACTAGTCATTGTCGCTCTCCAACCTCACAAGCAGCTCAAGCACACAGTTGGTGACCATGACCACCTCTGCATCCCCTCATTTCTCCTCCATCAAACAGATTATTGGAACTTTTTTTTTTCTTTTGAGATGGAGTATTGCCCTGTTGCCCAGGCTGGAGTGCAGTGGTGTGATCTCGGCTCACTGCAGCCTCTGCCTCCTGAGTTCAAGTGATTCTCCTACCTCAGCCCCTCAAGTAGCTGGGATTATAGGCTCACGCCAGTGTGCCTGACTAATTTTTGTATTTTTGGCAGAGACAGGGTTTTGCCAAGTTGGCTAGGCTTGTCTTGAACCCCTGACCTCATGTGATCCACCTGCCTCAGCCTCCCAAAGTGATGAGATCACAGGCATGAGCCACTGCGCCTGGCCTGAAACTTTTTTTTTTTTTTTTAACAGAACTTACAGGGAGTCACATTCTTCCTTTGGTTCAGTTTCCCATGCTTCATATCCCCACCAAAATAGTAAAGCCTCTACATCCACCATCAGGGCCTAGATAGAGGAAAGACAGGAAATTTGTTCCCATATTAGGCCAGCTGATTACAGTGATCCCTTCAAGCAGCATGCTGGAAGCGTAAGCAGCCTGTCTGCTCCATGTCATCTCCTTCAAAAACTTCGGCACACCATTTGAAAGGCACGGGAATCTTCTTGCTATTTTGTCAGGTGTGAAATATCATGAAATAAGTTGAAAATTATTTTCTCTAGGCTTTCAATGAACAAACAAAATGAATCCTGGAAGTTCATCTGTGGTCTTGCGTAGCTCACCAGCATATGTCTTCAGCAAAATTTAGGTGTGAAAAGCTTACACAGGGAGAGTTTCCATGAAATTGGAAACTTTATGGAAGCTCAAAGTTGCCCAAGGAGTCAGAGGTCACGCCTACCTCCCATCTCTGCGTTTTTAATGTACACACACCTAAGAGCTGGCAGAGATCAGCAAATTAAGAGGTTGGTGTTGGAAGCAAAGATCAGTAAGATGAGTAAGAAAACTCCAGTGACAATGCACCTGGGTTTTTGTAGACAAAACATTTCGTTTGAAGAAGGTGGGGACTAGTATCGGCTCAGAAAGCAAGGTCCGGTTTTGATGGGGAAAAGGGATCCATTCTGGAGGCAGGAAGGTGTCATCTCCGGATGAAGAGAGCTCTGATGTGCAGGCACTGGTGGGAGGTATGGCATTCACTGCTCCAAGTGGATGTGGGGCTCCCTTTGTTTCAGTCAGAGCCCCAGAAGGGATTGAGTATTGTTGGGGAAATTGCTACTGGCGAGATACTGGCAGCAGGTATGTTTCACGATGCTTTTACAGTAGTCAAGTTTAGCCAAGTCTTAAGGAATAATTCAGATATTAATGCAGAAGAAGGTTTGAGGTGGGAGAAGGGGCCACAGGCACTCTTTGGACTCCGGGGCCTTGGAAGCAGCTCTGGCAGCAGCCTCTCCTCCCATCTCTCTTTAGAAAAAGTAGCTGCAGATCCAGGGAGACTTTGTCTCCTCAACATACATACAGGCGTCTGTAAATTAGATGTTCGCTGTTAAGTTTGCAGATGGAGGATTCTACATAGCCAGCAGGGATTGAATAGCGCATGCGATAAATGCACCCTAAACGTCTTTCTTTGGTACTTCCTTTTAACTCCGCAAAATAAGATAGCACTAGTAGGAAAGAAACCAAGGAATCTGCTTGGTAAGTTTTTAAAGTAAAGAGAAAAACATGTTTTAGAGGTGAATACATGGCACATCAGATGGGACATAGGACGAAATCTCTCCACAGCAATGAAGAATTCACTGAGTCTATATGCCCTCGTGGAAAGAGACAGTGGAAGAGCTGAATGCCCGGTAGAGTATGCGTGAATTGAAGAACCAAGCCACTTCCATCACCTTTTATCACAGACATGACTTAGCAAAGGCCTGGTATCCAGGTCCCTCTCACCTCTCTGGGTCTTGGCCCTATGCCCTCTGCTGTTTTTCTTTCCACCTCCTTTTCTGTCTCCGAAACTCTAAGTCATTTTACAGCTTGTTGGCTTGTGACCTTAATCTGACCTGCAATTTTTGGATTGCTTTTAAATTGAATGTAAATGTTTTTAGTTACTAATATGCTCTCTCCAGTAAAACAGTCGATATTACATGCTTTACTTCTGCTTTATACACGTTCTTAACTTCCTGATGGCTATTATGAGTCTGTGTGCCTACCAGTGAGCCTCCCTTCACTTCACCCAGGAAACCTTTCCTCTCCACCCTGTGATGGTGAATACTGAGTGTCAACTTGATTGGATTGAAGGATGCAACGCATTGTTCCTGGGTGTGTCTTTGAGGTTGTTGCCAAAAGAGATTAACATATGAGTCAGTGAACTCAGAGAGGCAGACCCGCCTTCAATCGTGGTGGGTATCCTCAAATCAGCTGCCAGCAAGGCTAGGACAAAAGCAGGCAAAGGAACGTGGAAGGACTAGACTGCCTGAGTCTTCCGGCCTCCATCTTTCTCCCGTGATGGATGCTTCCTGTCCTCGAACATCAGACTCCAAATTCTTCAGCTTTTGGGCTCTTAACCTTACACCAGTGATTTGCCAGGGTCTGTTGGGCCTTCAGCCACAGACTGAAGGCTACACTGTCAATTTCCCTACTTTTGAGGTTTTGGGACTCGGACTGGCTTCCTGGCTCCTCAGCTTGCAGATGTCCTATGGTGGGACTTCACCTTGTGATCGTGTGAGTCAGTTCTCCTAATAATCTCCCCTTCAGGTATTCACCTATCCTAATAGTTCTGTTCCTTTAGAGAACCCTGACTGATACATCCTTAATATAAACTGAGTGATCTTGTTATGAGTTCCCACAGAAAAGCATTCCTATATACAGCATAGCTCTTATTACACTGCATCTTTCTTGAAAACAGGGGTTAGTATTTTGTCTGTGTCACCAATACCTATTATGGTGCTTGACACATATACATACTCTTTCTATCTATCTATCTATCTATCTATCTATCTATCTATCTATCTATCTATCTATCATCTATCCATCCGTCCATCCTCATCTCCCTCTCTATTTAGTTTTAAGGATTCTGAAAACAGAATATTCAGATAATGCTGAGAAATTGTGCCATTCAACAGATGATGAAAGAAGCTGAAGCCTGTTAATTTAGAAAAGTTAAACCATTTGAGGACACAATGTTTTTATAACACACCATTTCATAATAGAGCAAACTATTTTACTTTTTCCCCCTAATTGCATGCACTGCATTTTTTATTGGACCATGCACTCCTTAGGAGCAGAGAGCCTGCTTGCTACTTCTGCATTATGAAGTCTCCAGAGCCCTGCAGATGGTATATGTGCAGTAAATCTATTATAAATGAATAAAATATCTGAAGCCTTGGGGGTAAGGAAGCATGTTTATTTGCTTTTCAAAATGTAGAGCTAGATCCCATGGGTGGCACTTAAAAGGAAGAGGACTCGAATTCTCTGAGAGAGGGGATGAAATGACTGGAGTGGCACAAACATCTGATGGACTATTTAGTGAGAGTCATGAGTGTCGGGGTTCATGGCCATTTGAGATCCCTCTTCAAAAGTACAAACTTCCCTTTGAGGCCATGTGGTTTGATGCTCTCATAACTGCAAGTCCCTGGCACTCTATCAGGAAGAGATTTATTAAATGTAACAGACCAGAATATTATTACATAAAGAACATTGTCCCTTAGCTGTAATCAAATTACCCAGCCATCTGATGGTTTCCCTCATTTCCTGAGCAGTTTATATTTTCTATCACTGCTACTTGGTGAGAACCAGATTTGTGTCTGTCCACCGTGCTGGACACAGCCACATTGGAAATTATATCTCCAATATCGATTGAATAGAAATATCAGAAGACTCCGTACCAGGTGGTTTTTTAGTTTGTTGGATATTTACTGTTATTTTGCTGCTTATTTTTCGGCGCCAATTTCTCTTTGGTGTTCCAACAAAAGTTAAAGTAGCCAGTTAATCACCCTTGATTTTTATTCCACCCTATTACTTCTAGTTTCTGAACAGTTTTTGAAAATCTTTTGAAGTGTTATGTCCAGTGATTTACATAGAAGTAGAAGGCTGTAAAGTTGATAGTTGGCTATCACGGTGATGGTATGACATAAGAACCCAGGGATACCTGATATGACTCTTCAGCCAAACATGACTCCACAGGTGAGTGAAACATGAAGACACTGAGACATCTGCAAGTTGGAAGCAGCCCAGGTGACAATTCACTATTAGGTAGGGCTTTAGACACAACTCCCAATCAAACTTGAGTAAGCTGTCATGGACACAAATGAATTGCAAGTCTCACATGCTGTATGAGCCATCTTTGAATTTGATTCCTTTTAGCCTCATCACCAAAAGCCACACTCTAAGTTGTTGTCAAGACATATTTTGCTCTCTGCACTAATCCAAAGCTATATCCGGTGTGTCAGGCAAGTATTTAACAGCACCCGTGAGATCCTGGGAAGTCCTTCATCTAGCTGAGAGGGTTTACCAGGTATCACCTTAATTATGTATGAATTCTGAAATATTTAAGCTTTGATTTCAGGTTTAATTTGACTTAGAGAATTGTATTTCCTAGGGAGAGTCTAGCTCAGAAACAGCTTTAGTTTTTACTTGGCAATTTGGATATTTGGATATCTTCTGTATGTATGTCCTGCTTGTAGACTTATACTATGTACAGTTGACCCTTGAACAACATGGGGTTGAATTGAACAAGACTGCTTATACACAGACTTTCTGCTACTCCTGCCACCCCTGATATAAAAGACCAACCCCTACTCATCCTTCACCACCCCAGGCTACTCAACATAAAGATAATAAGAATGTAGACCTATACGATGATCCACTTCCACTTAATGGATAGGACATATATTTTCTCTTCCTTATGCTGTTCTCAGTAAAATTTTCTTTTCCTCTAGCTTACTTTATTGTGAGAATACTGTATATAATACATATACAACATATGAGTTGATCAACTGTTTATATTATCAGTAAGGCTTCCAGTCAACAGTAGGCTATAAGTAGTTAAGTTTGCAGGAAGCTAAAAGTTGTACACAAATTTTAAACTGCGTGGGGGATTGGTTTTCCCTCACCTCCACATTGTTTAGGGATCTGCAGTACCTAGGACAACTAGCTGTTATCTATAGCATACTGAGTACAGATTTGTTCAGTTAAACCAAAAGTTTATTTGGTACTTTTTTTTTAACCTTTCAAAGTGCTGTAGGCTATGTTTCTGCCATTTACTTCGGTACTCCATGAAAGGGATTTCCGTTTACCCAGCCAGCTCCAAAAGTTACCTCAATGTTTTCCCAGCCTCTGGTGTTTCCTCGCTTTTCAGCTTCTTTCTGCCACTCTTTATCAAAGCCAATGAAATATATTATGTTAGTTCCCGAGTCCTAGATTCCAACTTCTGTATCAGTTAGCTATTACTATTTAACAAAAATCTCAAAACCTAATTACTTAAAATTACCATTTATTTAGCTCGTGATTCTGTATTTTGGAAAACGTCTGGGTTCAACCTTTGCTAAACTTTTGGCTTTGCTCTCTTTTGTGTCTGTGGCTTGTAGTGGGAAGTTATTCTAACTCGTCCTGGCTCATGTTGTCTTTTATTTTCCAGCGGGCTAGACCATCTGGCCTCCTTATGACTCAATAGCTGATTGCACGTACATGAGTGAGCGAAGCTGGGAAATAAGAATCACCCGTTTGAATTCAGATAAAATTCCCAAATCAAAACTTTAAAGCTAAATATGTGGTTGTTGTTTTAAGCCCCAGTATTTAAGGGTATAAAAGCTAACTCTTATTGCTACAGGACATGTCAAAAACCTATAGAACATATACTTCCCAATGTCCATGGAATTAAGGCAAAAAGGCTGCTGATAAGTCTGCATACTTAAAAGTCTCTTGCGTATCTATATGGAAACAAGTAAAAATAAATGAGTAATAAATAAATAATTAAATAGGAAGAAAGAATGAGACAGAATTGGTTAGAAAAAGACTAAAAGAATAAGTGAAGGCCGGAAGTGGTGGCTCACACCTGTAATCCCAGCACTTTGGGAGGCTGAGGCAGGCAGATCACAAGGTCAGGAGTTTGAGACCAGCCTGACCAACATGGTGAAACCCCGTCTCTACTAAAAATACAAAAATTAGCTGGGTGTAGTGGCATGCGCCTGTAATCCCAACTACTCAGGAGACTAAGGCAGGAGAATTGCTTGAACCCGGGAGGTGGAGGTTGCAGTGAGCGGAGATTATGCCACTGCACTCCAGCCTGGGTGACAGAGCCAGACTCTGTCTCAAAACAAACAAACAAACAAACAAACAAAACCCACAAGCAATAACAGAAAAATGACTTGGACATTTCGAGGTCTCAATAGAAAAGAACATGGATGCAATGTATGGGTAGAAGCAGCAGATAACTTTAATTTTCTTGTCCAGATATCAACATTGATTTTTGATTGCATGTCAGAAAGTGTGTATGGGGTTGGGACCTTCATTATTGTTTGGTTGGCTTAACAAGAGGTCTTGAGGAGATGGAACTACTAGGACAAGTGTTCGGAAATAAAATTGTATCTAAATTAATAATGACTTTCCCTTGCACAATGGGTCCTTTTTTTGGTCCTGGAAACTGGACACTTTCCGTGAAAACAGTGACACATGGCCCCATTACTACAATAAAGAGCAGTCTTCAGGTACAGTGATCATATCCTCCCCATGCACACAAAATTATGTTCTGCAGGTATAAGGGAAGTATAGGAAAAATACTGCAACAAGATTTTCTTACTACTCCAGAGAACATGTTATCCTTGAAAAACCTAAATTACAGTTCAGATCATAGGCCTATCAGTCAAGTTAATCCCTGAACAGACTGAAAAGCTGAACTTTTAATACAATCATAACTCTCTTCACTCTATCTCTTGCCCTTTCTCTCTCTCTCGGTTATGACTTTGTTGAATGTTTACATAATGTAACAACTAATCAAATAATCTGTCCTATAAACATTTAAGCTTTCTAAAGTTGTTCCTAATTACAACCCTACTTTTGCTGCACTAGAATCAGATTAAACACCATAACAATAATCCAATGCCTTAAGATAAAGTAGTAGGTGCATTAGCAAGAAAAATGTGGTTGTGTTTAATTTAGATTCTTCTTGTAGGCTCATAGCATATTCTAGTATAAAACATTTACCCTTAAGCCTTGGAAACTGGCTTTATGGATCTAGGCTTTTACATTTAGTGGTATGTGTCAACAAGGAAATCTTGTATTTTCCCTCGCATCCAACATTTGCAAATCAGTGGAGAGGTCACATTTAATAAGCCCTACGTTCCAAGTTGGAAAACAATAAACAAAATTAAGTTAAAGTTACCAGATGGTGGGTTAATAGATGCTGAGTAGCAAAAATAACATTGGCCACTATAATTAACATTTTCTCGTGCCGAATTATCCTATCTATTAAACCATGTGATAACCAGTGCTCTCTTTTGGTTTAATTATTGCCAAGAGGGACCAGGGACTCTGTAGACACTTGGATTATACAGCACTGCAGCTGTTGTAGCTGGCTCCCTGTAGTGGGTACAATAGAGTCCCTGCTGAGGGCTGATCCTCCCCTGGAGGAATACTGAAAAAGACAAAAAGACAGTAGTTGTAGAAGACCAGGAGACAGAACTGTTGGAGCTCTCCATTGAGGAGGTGGCTCAGGAGGCATGTGGGGCTAAATAAATCTTGGAAATGGAAAAAACTGGGTTTGTTACAGTAAAGAATATTTGTTTTAATTTCAAACTACAGGATCTTAAAATATATTTCTCCTTTTCATCATATATCCCCCTGCTCCATGAAGATTCATTGTATTGTTGTTATTGATGTAACAAACCTCACTGATATTTACTTACATACAGCTGTAGCAATATTTATTTTAATTATGAATGTACTATTTGGACAGGAATTGGCAGTAGGTCATTACTGCTCCATTTGGCTTCAGCTGGCTCTGGGGGTGAGAACAGCTGGCACAATGTCTCCAGTATCATTCGCTTTGTGGACTCCCCAGCATGGTGGCTTCAGGTAGCTGGACTTCCGGTACGGCATCTCAGGGTTCCAAAGACACATTCTGAGAGAGTAAGAGAGAGAGAGAAAGAGGTGGAAGATGTAGCCCCTTTTCTAATTTAGCCTCAAAAGTCACACTGCATTGCTTCCACCTCATTCTATGCATTATATAAAAGTCACTAAAAGCAAGTTTATATTCGACGAAAAAGGAATTATTCCTCACCTTTTTATGCGAGGATTGACAAACATTTAGAGGTAAACTTTAAAATCCCACTCTTTGAAAGTTAATATCTTAAAATTCTGTGCTTTATATAGGTTTTATTTATCTTTGACCAGATCTTT